>NC_000023.11:60211097-60380602 GCF_000001405.40 Homo sapiens | reverse complement strand
GGAAGTTGATCCCGTTTCCAACGAAATCCTCAGAGAGGTCCAAATATCCCCTCGCAGATTCTACAAAACGTGTGTTTGGAAACTGCTCCATCATAACGAATGTTCAGCTCCCTGAGTTAAACTCCATCGTCACAAAGAATTTTCTGAGAGTGCTACCGTCTGGTTTTTATATGAACTTCTTTCCTTCACTACCACAGGCCTCAAAGCGGTCCAAATCTCCACTTGCAGATTCTACAAAAAGAGTGTTTGCAAACTGCTCTATCAAAAGGAATGTTCAACTCTGGGAGTTGAATGCAATCATCACAGAGCAGTTTCTGAGAATGCTTCTATGTCGTTTTTAGGAGAAGATATTTCCTTTTCCAACACAGTCCTCCAAGCCCGCTAAATAGCCACTTGCACATTGTAGAAAAAGTGTGTCAAAGCTGCGCTATCAAAGGGAAAGTTCAACTCTGTGAGGTGAATGCAAACATCCCAAAGAAGTTTCTGAGAATGCTTCCGTTTAGCTTTTAGGTGAAGATTATCCCGTTTCCAACGAAACCTTCAAAGAGGTCCAAATATCCCCTTGCGGATCCCACAGAAAGAGTGTTTCGAAACTGCTGTTTCAAAAGGAATCTTCAACTCTGTGAGTTGAATGCAATCATCACAAAGAAGTTTCTGACAATGCTTCTCTCTCGTCTTTCTGTGAAGGTAAAGGAAAAGGCTTTCAGGCCTTTTCCACCACAGGCCTGAAAGCGCTCCAAATGTCCACTTGCAGATTCTGCCAAAAGAATATTTCAAAACTGCTCTATGAAAAGCAATGTTAAACTCTGTGGCTCGAACACAAACATCACAAAGCGGTTTCTGAGAATGCTTCAGTTTAGTTTTTCTGTGGAAATATTCCCGTTTCCAAAGAAATCTTCAAAGAGGTCCACGTATCCACTTACAGATTCTACAAAAAGACAGTTTCAAAACTGCTCCATCAAAAGGAGGGTTCAACTGTGTGACTTGAATGCAATCATCACTCAGAAGTTTCTGAGAATGCTTCTCTTTAGTTTTTAGGTGAACATATACACGTTTCGAACGAAGGCCACCCAGTGGTCCAAATATCCACTTGCAGATTATACAGAAAGAGTGTTTCGAACCTGAACTCTCAAAGGCAGGTTCATCTCTGCGAGTTAAATGCATTCATCATGAAGAACTTTCTCAGAGTGTTTGTGTTTAGTTATGGGAAATTATTCCCGTTTCCAACGAAATCCTCAGAGAGCTCCAAATATCCACCTGCAGATTCTACCAAAAGTGTATTTGGAAACTGCTCCATCAAAAGGCATGTTCAGCTCTGTGAGTGAAACTCCATCATCACAAAGAATATTCTGAGAATGCTTCCGTTTGCCTTTTATATGAAGTTCCTTCCTGTACTACCGTAGGCCTCAAAGCAGTCCAAATCTCCATTTGCAGATTCTATAAAAAGAGTGATTCCAATCTGCTCTATCAATAGGATTGTTCAACTCCATGAGTTGAATGCCATCCTCACAAAGTAGTTTCTGAGAATGCTTCTATCTGGTTTTTGTGTGAAGATATTTCCTTTTCCACCACAGGCCTCAAAGCCCTCCAAACGTCCACTTGCAGATTCTCGAAAAAGAGTGTTTCATAGCTGCTCTTTCAAAAGGAAAGTTCAACTCTTTGAGTTGAATACAAACATCACAAAGTAGTTTCCGAGAATGCTTCTGTTTAGTTTTTATGTGAAGATGATCCCGTTTCCAGTGAAATCTTCAAAGAGGTCCACATATCCCCTTGCAGATTCCAAAGAAAGAGGGTTTCAAAACTGCTCCATCAGAAGGATTGTTCAACTCTGTGAGTTGAATGCAGTCATCGCAGAAAACTTTCTGAGAATGCTTCTGTCTAGGTTTGATGTGAAGATATAGACGTTTCAAACGAAGGCTACAAAGTGGTCAAAATATACACTTGCAGATTCTACTACAAGGGTGTTGCAAACCTGAACTATCAAAGGAAGGTTCAACTCTGTGAGTTGAATACAAACATCGCAAAGAATGTTCTGAGTTTGCTTCCGTTCAGTTATGGGAAGTTGATCCCGTTTCCAACGAAATCCTCAGAGAGGTCCAAATATCCCCTTGCAGATTCTACAAAATGTGTGTTTGGAAACTGCTCCATCATAACGAATGTTCAGCTCTCTGAGTTAAACTCCATCGTCACAAAGAATTTTCTGAGAGTGCTACCGTCTAGTTTTTATATGAAGTTCTTTCCTTTACTACCACAGGCCTCAAAGCGGTCCAAATCTCCACTTGCAGATTCTACAAAAAGAGTGTTTGCAAACTGCTCTATCAAAAGGAATGTTCAACTCTGGGAGTTGAATGCAATCATCACAGAGCAGTTTCTGAGAATGCTTCTATGTCGTTTTTAGGAGAAGATATTTCCTTTTCCAACACAGTCCTCCAAGCCCGCTAAATATCCACTTGCACATTGTAGAAAAAGTGTGTCGAAGCTGCGCTATCAAAGGGAAAGTTCAACTCTGTGAGGTGAATGCAAACATCCCAAAGAAGTTTCTGAGAATGCTTCCGTTTAGCTTTTAGGTGAAGATTATCCCGTTTCCAACGAAATCTTCAAAGAGGTCCAAATATCCCCTTGCGGATCCCACAGAAAGAGTGTTTCGAAACTGCTGTTTCAAAAGGAATCTTCAACTCTGTGAGTTGAATGCAATCATCACAAAGAAGTTTCTGACAATGCTTCTCCCTCGTCTTTCTGTGAAGATAAAGGAAAAGGCTTTCAGGCCTTTTCCACCACAGGCCTGAAAGCGCTCCAAATGTCCACTTGCAGATTCTGCCAAAAGAATATTTCAAAACTGCTCTATGAAAAGCAATGTTAAACTCTGCGGCTCGAACACAAACATCACAAAGCAGTTTCTGAGAATGCTTCAGTTTAGTTTTTCTGTGGAAATATTCCCGTTTCCAAAGAAATATTCAAAGAGGTCCACGTATCCACTTACAGATTTTACAAAAAGACAGTTTCAAAACTGCTCAATCAAAAGGAGGGTTCAACTGTGTGACTTGAATGTAATCATCACTCAGAAGTTTCTGAGAATGCTTCTCTTTAGTTTTTACGTGAACATATACCCGTTTCGAACGAAGGCCAGCCAGTGGTCCAAATATCCACTTGCAGATTCTACAGAAAGAGTGTTTCGAACCTGAACTCTCAAAGGCAGGTTCATCTCTGCGAGTTAAATGCATTCATCATGAAGAACTTTCTCAGAGTGTTTGTGTTTAGTTATGGGAAATTATTCCCTTTTCCAACGAAATCCTCAGAGAGCTCCAAATATCCACCTGCAGATTCTACCAAAAGTGTATTTGGAAACTGCTCCATCAAAAGGCATGTTCAGCTCTGTGAGTGAAACTCCATCATCACAAAGAATATTCTGAGAATGCTTCCGTTTGCCTTTTATATGAAGTTCCTTCCTATACGACCGTAGGCCTCAAAGCAGTCCAAATCTCCATTTGCAGATTCTACAAAAAGAGTGATTCCAATCTGCTCTATCAATAGGATTGTTCAACTCCATGAGTTGAATGCCATCCTCAAAAAGTCGTTTCTAAGAATGCTTCTATCTAGTTTTTATGTGAAGATATTTCCTTTTCCACCACAGGCCTCAAAGCCCTCCAAACGTCCACTTGCAGATTCTCGAAAAAGAGTGTTTCATAGCTGCTCTTTCAAAAGGAAAGTTCAACTCTGGGAGTTGAATACAAACATCACAAAGTAGTTTCCGAGAATGCTTCTGTTTAGTTTTTATGTGAAGATGATCCCGTTTCCAGTGAAATCTTCAAAGAGGTCCACATATCCCCTTGCAGATTCCAAAGAAAGAGGGTTTCAAAACTGCTCCATCAGAAGGATTGTTCAACTCTGTGAGTTGAATGCTGTCATCGCAGAAAACTTTCTGAGAATGCTTCTGTCTAGGTTTGATGTGAAGATATAGACGTTTCAAACGAAGGCTACAAAGTGGTCAAAATATACACTTGCAGATTCTACTACAAGGGTGTTGCAAACCTGAACTATCAAAGGAAGGTTCAACTCTGTGAGTTGAATACAAACATCACAAAGAATGTTCTGAGTTTGCTTCCGTTCAGTTATGGGAAGTTGATCCCGTTTCCAACGAAATCCTCAGAGAGGTCCAAATATCCCCTTGCAGATTCTACAAAACGTGTGTTTGGAAACTGCTCCATCATAACGAATGTTCAGCTCCCTGAGTTAAACTCCATCGTCACAAAGAATTTTCTGAGAGTGCTACCGTCTGGTTTTTATATGAAGCTCTTTCCTTCACTACCACAGGCCTCAAAGCGGTCCAAATCTCCACTTGCAGATTCTACAAAAAGAGTGTTTGCAAACTGCTCTATCAAAAGGAATGTTCAACTCTGGGAGTTGAATGCAATCATCACAGAGCAGTTTCTGAGAATGCTTCTATGTCGTTTTTAGGAGAAGATATTTCCTTTTCCAACACAGTCCTCCAAGCCCGCTAAATAGCCACTTGCACATTGTAGAAAAAGTGTGTCAAAGCTGCGCTATCAAAGGGAAAGTTCAACTCTGTGAGGTGAATGCAAACATCCCAAAGAAGTTTCTGAGAATGCTTCCGTTTAGCTTTTAGGTGAAGATTATCCCGTTTCCAACGAAACCTTCAAAGAGGTCCAAATATCCCCTTGCGGATCCCACAGAAAGAGTGTTTCGAAACTGCTGTTTCAAAAGGAATCTTCAACTCTGTGAGTTGAATGCAATCATCACAAAGAAGTTTCTGACAATGCTTCTCTCTCGTCTTTCTGTGAAGATAAAGGAAAAGGCTTTCAGGCCTTTTCCACCACAGGCCTGAAAGCGCTCCAAATGTCCACTTGCAGATTCTGCGAAAAGAATATTTCAAAACTGCTCTATGAAAAGCAATGTTAAACTCTGTGGCTCGAACACAAACATCACAAAGCGGTTTCTGAGAATGCTTCAGTTTAGTTTTTCTGTGGAAATATTCCCGTTTCCAAAGAAATCTTCAAAGAGGTCCACGTATCCACTTACAGATTCTACAAAAAGACAGTTTCAAAACTGCTCCATCAAAAGGAGGGTTCAACTGTGTGACTTGAATGCAATCATCACTCAGAAGTTTCTGAGAATGCTTCTCTTTAGTTTTTACGTGAACATATACCCGTTTCGAACGAAGGCCACCCAGTGGTCCAAATATCCACTTGCAGATTCTACAGAAAGAGTGTTTCGAACCTGAACTCTCAAAGGCAGGTTCATCTCTGCGAGTTAAATGCATTCATCATGAAGAACTTTCTCAGAGTGTTTGTGTTTAGTTATGGGAAATTATTCCCGTTTCCAACGAAATCCTCAGAGAGCTCCAAATATCCACCTGCAGATTCTACCAAAAGTGTATTTGGAAACTGCTCCATCAAAAGGCATGTTCAGCTCTGTGAGTGAAACTCCATCATCACAAAGAATATTCTGAGAATGCTTCCGTTTGCCGTTTATATGAAGTTCCTTCCTATACTACCGTAGGCCTCAAAGCAGTCCAAATCTCCATTTGCAGATTCTACAAAAAGAGTGATTCCAATCTGCTCTATCAATAGGATTGTTCAACTCCATGTGTTGAATGCCATCCTCAATGTCGTTTCTGAGAATGCTTCTATCTAGTTTTTATGTGAAGATATTTCCTTTTCCACCACAGGCCTCAAAGCCCTCCAAACGTCCACTTTCAGATTCTCGAAAAAGAGTGTTTCATAGCTGCTCTTTCAAAAGGAAAGTTCAACTCTGGGAGTTGAATACAAACATCACAAAGTAGTTTCCGAGAATGCTTCTGTTTAGTTTTTATGTGAAGATGATCCCGTTTCCAGTGAAATCTTCAAAGAGGTCCACATATCCCCTTGCAGATTCCAAAGAAAGAGGGTTTCAAAACTGCTCCATCAGAAGGATTGTTCAACTCTGTGAGTTGAATGCAGTCATCGCAGAAAACTTTCTGAGAATGCTTCTGTCTAGGTTTGATGTGAAGATATAGACGTTTCAAACGAAGGCTACAAAGTGGTCAAAATATACACTTGCAGATTCTACTACAAGGGTGTTGCAAACCTGAACTATCAAAGGAAGGTTCAACTCTGTGAATTGAATACAAACATCACAAAGAATGTTCTGAGTTTGCTTCCGTTCAGTTATGGGAAGTTGATCCCGTTTCCAACGAAATCCTCAGAGAGGTCCAAATATCCCCTCGCAGATTCTACAAAACGTGTGTTTGGAAACTGCTCCATCATAACGAATGTTCAGCTCCCTGAGTTAAACTCCATCGTCACAAAGAATTTTCTGAGAGTGCTACCGTCTGGTTTTTATATGAAGTTCTTTCCTTCACTACGACAGGCCTCAAAGCGGTCCAAATCTCCACTTGCAGATTCTACAAAAAGAGTGTTTGCAAACTGCTCTATCAAAAGGAATGTTCAACTCTGGGAGTTGAATGCAATCATCACAGAGCAGTTTCTGAGAATGCTTCTATGTCGTTTTTAGGAGAAGATATTTCCTTTTCCAACACAGTCCTCAAAGCCCGCTAAATATCGACTTGCACATTGTAGAAAAAGTGTGTCGAAGCTGCGCTAACAAAGGGAAAGTTCAACTCTGTGAGGTGAATGCAAACATCCCAAAGAAGTTTCTGAGAATGCTTCCGTTTAGCTTTTAGGTGAAGATTATCCCGTTTCCAACGAAATCTTCAAAGAGGTCCAAATATCCCCTTGCGGATCTCACAGAAAGAGTGTTTCGAAACTGCTGTTTCAAAAGGAATCTTCAACTCTGTGAGTTGAATGCAATCATCACAAAGAAGTTTCTGACAATGCTTCTCTCTCGTCTTTCTGTGAAGATAAAGGAAAAGGCTTTCAGGCCTTTTCCACCACAGGCCTGAAAGCGCTCCAAATGTCCACTTGCAGATTCTGCCAAAAGAATATTTCAAAACTGCTCTATGAAAAGCAATGTTAAACTCTGTGGCTCGAACACAAACATCACAAAGCAGTTTCTGAGAATGCTTCAGTTTAGTTTTTCTGTGGAAATATTCCCGTTTCCAAAGAAATCTTCAAAGAGGTCCACGCATCCACTTACAGATTCTACAAAAAGACAGTTTCAAAACTGCTCAATCAAAAGGAGGGTTCAACTGTGTGACTGGAATGCAATCATCACTCAGAAGTTTCTGAGAACGCTTCTCTTTAGTTTTTACGTGAACATATACCCGTTTCGAACGAAGGCCAGCCAGTGGTCCAAATATCCACTTGCAGATTCTACAGAAAGAGTGTTTCGAACCTGAACTCTCAAAGGCAGGTTCATCTCTGCGAGTTAAATGCATTCATCATGAAGAACTTTCTCAGCGTGTTTGTGTTTAGTTATGGGAAATTATTCCCGTTTCCAACGAAATCCTCAGAGAGCTCCAAATATCCACCTGCAGATTCTACCAAAAGTGTATTTGGAAACTGCTCCATGAAAAGGCATGTTCAGCTCTGTGAGTGAAACTCCGTCATCACAAAGAATATTCTGAGAATGCTTCCGTTTGCCTTTTATATGAAGTTCCTTCCTATACTACCGTAGGCCTCAAAGCAGTCCAAATCTCCATTTGCAGATTCTACAAAAAGAGTGATTCCAATCTGCTCTATCAATAGGATTGTTCAACTCCATGAGTTGAATGCCATCCTCACAAAGTAGTTTCTGAGAATGCTTCTATGTAGTTTTTAAGTGAAGATATTTCCTTTTCCACCACAGGCCTCAAAGCCCTCCAAACGTCCACTTGCAGATTCCCGAAAAAGAGTGTTTCATAGCTGCTCTTTCAAAAGGAAAGTTCAACTCTGGGAGTTGAATACAAACATCACAAAGTAGTTTCCGAGAATGCTTCTGTTTAGTTCTTATGTGAAGATGATCCCGTTTCCAGTGAAATCTTCAAAGAGGTCCACATATCCCCTTGCAGATTCCAAAGAAAGAGGGTTTCAAAACTGCTCCATCAAAAGGATTGTTCAACTCTGTGAGTTGAATGCAGTCATCGCAGAAAACTTTCTGAGAATGCTTCTGTCTAGGTTTGATGTGAAGATATAGACGTTTCAAACGAAGGCTACAAAGTGGTCAAAATATACACTTGCAGATTCTACTACAAGGGTGTTGCAAACCTCAACTATCAAAGGAAGGTTCAACTCTGTGAGACGAATGCAAACATCACAAAGAATGTTCTGAGTTTGCTTCCGTTCAGTTATGGGAAGTTGATCCCGTTTCCAACGAAATCCTCAGAGAGGTCCAAATATCCCCTTGCAGATTCTACAAAACGTGTGTTTGGAAACTGCTCCATCATAACGAATGTTCAGCTCTCTGAGTTAAACTCCATCGTCACAAAGAATTTTCTGAGAGTGCTACCGTCTACTTTTTATATGAAGTTCTTTGCTTTACTACCACAGGCCTCAAAGCGGTCCAAATCTCCACTTGCAGATTCTACAAAAAGAGTGTTTGCAAACTGCTCTATCAAAAGGAATGTTCAACTCTGGGAGTTGAATGCAATCATCACAGAGCAGTTTCTGAGAATGCTTCTATGTCGTTTTTAGGAGAAGATATTTCCTTTTCCAACACAGTCCTCCAAGCCCGCTAAATATCCACTTGCACATTGTAGAAAAAGTGTGTCGAAGCTGCGCTATCAAAGGGAAAGTTCAACTCTGTGAGGTGAATGCAAACATCCCAAAGAAGTTTCTGAGAATGCTTCCGTTTAGCTTTAAGTGAAGATTATCCCGTTTCCAACGAAATCTTCAAAGAGGTCCAAATATCCCCTTGCGGATCCCACAGAAAGAGTGTTTCGAAACTGCTGTTTCAAAAGGAATCTTCAACTCTGTGAGTTGAATGCAATCATCACAAAGAAGTTTCTGACAATGCTTCTCTCTCGTCTTTCTGTGAAGATAAAGGAAAAGGCTTTCAGGCCATTTCCACCACAGGCCTGAAAGCGCTCCAAATGTCCACTTGCAGATTCTGCCAAAAGAATATTTCAAAATTGCTCTATGAAAAGCAATGTTAAACTCTGCGGCTCGAACACAAACATCACAAAGCAGTTTCTGAGAATGCTTCAGTTTAGTTTTTCTGTGGAAATATTCCCGTTACCAAAGAAATCTTCAAAGAGGTCCACGTATCCACTTACAGATTCTACAAAAAGACAGTTTCAAAACTGCTCCATCAAAAGGAGGGTTCAACTGTGTGACTTGAATGCAATCATCACTCAGAAGTTTCTGAGAATGCTTCTCTTTAGTTTTTACGTGAACATATACCCGTTTCGAACGAAGGCCACCCAGTGGTCCAAATATCCACTTGCAGATTCTACAGAAAGAGTGTTTCGAACCTGAACTCTCAAAGGCAGGTTCATCTCTGCGAGTTAAATGCATTCATCATGAAGAACTTTCTCAGAGTGTTTGTGTTTAGTTATGGGAAATTATTCCCCTTTCCAACGAAATCCTCAGAGAGCTCCAAATATCCACCTGCAGATTCTACCAAAAGTGTATTTGGAAACTGCTCCATCAAAAGGCATGTTCAGCTCTGTGAGTGAAACTCCATCATCACAAAGAATATTCTGAGAATGCTTCCGTTTGCCTTTTATATGAAGTTCCTTCCTGTACTACCGTAGGCCTCAAAGCAGTCCAAATCTCCATTTGCAGATTCTACAAAAAGAGTGATTCCAATCTGCTCTATCAATAGGATTGTTCAACTCCATGAGTTGAATGCCATCCTCACAAAGCAGTTTCTGAGAATGCTTCTATCTGGTTTTTGTGTGAAGATATTTCCTTTTCCACCACAGGCCTCAAAGCCCTCCAAACGTCCACTTGCAGATTCTCGAAAAAGAGTGTTTCATAGCTGCTCTTTCAAAAGGAAAGTTCAATTCTGGGAGTTGAATACAAACATCACAAAATAGTTTCCGAGAATGCTTCTGTTTAGTTTTTATGTGAAGATGATCCCGTTTCCAGTGAAATCTTCAAAGAGGTCCACATATCCCCTTGCAGATTCCAAAGAAAGAGGGTTTCAAAACTGCTCCATCAGAAGGATTGTTCAACTCTGTGAGTTGAATGCAGTCATCGCAGAAAACTTTCTGAGAATGCTTCTGTCTAGGTTTGATGTGAAGATATAGACGTTTCAAACGAAGGCTACAAAGTGGTCAAAATATACACTTGCAGATTCTACTACAAGGGTGTTGCAAACCTGAACTATCAAAGGAAGGTTCAACTCTGTGAGTTGAATACAAACATCACAAAGAATGTTCTGAGTTTGCTTCCGTTCAGTTATGGGAAGTTGATCCCGTTTCCAACGAAATCCTCAGAGAGGTCCAAATATCCCCTTGCAGATTCTACAAAACGTGTGTTTGGAAACTGCTCCATCATAACGAATGTTCAGCTCCCTGAGTTAAACTCCATCGTCACAAAGAATTTTCTGAGAGTGCTACCGTCTGGTTTTTATATGAAGTTCTTTCCTTCACTACCACAGGCCTCAAAGCGGTCCAAATCTCCACTTGCAGATTCTACAAAAAGAGTGTTTGCAAACTGCTCTATCAAAAGGAATGTTCAACTCTGGGAGTTGAATGCAATCATCACAGAGCAGTTTCTGAGAATGCTTCTATGTCGTTTTTAGGAGAAGATATTTCCTTTTCCAACACAGTCCTCCAAGCCCGCTAAATAGCCACTTGCACATTGTAGAAAAAGTGTGTCAAAGCTGCGCTATCAAAGGGAAAGTTCAACTCTGTGAGGTGAATGCAAACATCCCAAAGAAGTTTCTGAGAATGCTTCCGTTTAGCTTTTAGGTGAAGATTATCCCGTTTCCAACGAAACCTTCAAAGAGGTCCAAATATCCCCTTGCGGATCCCACAGAAAGAGTGTTTCGAAACTGCTGTTTCAAAAGGAATCTTCAACTCTGTGAGTTGAATGCAATCATCACAAAGAAGTTTCTGACAATGCTTCTCTCTCGTCTTTCTGTGAAGATAAAGGAAAAGGCTTTCAGGCCTTTGCCACCACAGGCCTGAAAGCGCTCCAAATGTCCACTTGCAGATTCTGCCAAAAGAATATTTCAAAACTGCTCTATGAAAAGCAATGTTAAACTCTGCGGCTCGAACACAAACATCACAAAGCGGTTTCTGAGAATGCTTCAGTTTAGTTTTTCTGTGGAAATATTCCCGTTTCCAAAGAAATCTTCAAAGAGGTCCACGTATCCACTTACAGATTCTACAAAAAGACAGTTTCAAAACTGCTCCATCAAAAGGAGGGTTCAACCGTGTGACTTGAATGCAATCATCACTCAGAAGTTTCTGAGAATGCTTCTCTTTAGTTTTTACGTGAACATATACCCGTTTCGAACGAAGGCCACCCAGTGGTCCAAATATCCACTTGCAGATTATACAGAAAGAGTGTTTCGAACCTGAACTCTCAAAGGCAGGTTCATCTCTGCGAGTTAAATGCATTCATCATGAAGAACTTTCTCAGCGTGTTTGTGTTTAGTTATGGGAAATTATTCCCGTTTCCAACGAAATCCTCAGAGAGCTCCAAATATCCACCTGCAGATTCTACCAAAAGTGTATTTGGAAACTGCTCCATCAAAAGGCATGTTCAGCTCTGTGAGTGAAACTCCATCATCACAAAGAATATTCTGAGAATGCTTCCGTTTGCCTTTTATATGAAGTTCCTTCCTGTACTACCGTAGGCCTCAAAGCAGTCCAAATCTCCATTTGCAGATTCTACAAAAAGAGTGATTCCAATCTGCTCTATCAATAGGATTGTTCAACTCCATGAGTTGAATGCCATCCTCACAAAGCAGTTTCTGAGAATGCTTCTATCTGGTTTTTGTGTGAAGATATTTCCTTTTCCACCACAGGCCTCAAAGCCCTCCAAACGTCCACTTGCAGATTCTCGAAAAAGAGTGTTTCATAGCTGCTCTTTCAAAAGGAAAGTTCAACTCTGGGAGTTGAATACAAACATCACAAAATAGTTTCCGAGAATGCTTCTGTTTAGTTTTTATGTGAAGATGATCCCGTTTCCAGTGAAATCTTCAAAGAGGTCCACATATCCCCTTGCAGATTCCAAAGAAAGAGGGTTTCAAAACTGCTCCATCAGAAGGATTGTTCAACTCTGTGAGTTGAATGCAGTCATCGCAGAAAACTTTCTGAGAATGCTTCTGTCTAGGTTTGATGTGAAGATATAGACGTTTCAAACGAAGGCTACAAAGTGGTCAAAATATACACTTGCAGATTCTACTACAAGGGTGTTGCAAACCTGAACTATCAAAGGAAGGTTCAACTCTGTGAGTTGAATACAAACATCACAAAGAATGTTCTGAGTTTGCTTCCGTTCAGTTATGGGAAGTTGATCCCGTTTCCAACGAAATCCTCAGAGAGGTCCAAATATCCCCTTGCAGATTCTACAAAACGTGTGTTTGGAAACTGCTCCATCATAACGAATGTTCAGCTCCCTGAGTTAAACTCCATCGTCACAAAGAATTTTCTGAGAGTGCTACCGTCTGGTTTTTATATGAAGCTCTTTCCTTCACTACCCCAGGCCTCAAAGCGGTCCAAATCTCCACTTGCAGATTCTACAAAAAGAGTGTTTGCAAACTGCTCTATCAAAAGGAATGTTCAACTCTGGGAGTTGAATGCAATCATCACAGAGCAGTTTCTGAGAATGCTTCTATGTCGTTTTTAGGAGAAGATATTTCCTTTTCCAACACAGTCCTCCAAGCCCGCTAAATAGCCACTTGCACATTGTAGAAAAAGTGTGTCAAAGCTGCGCTATCAAAGGGAAAGTTCAACTCTGTGAGGTGAATGCAAACATCCCAAAGAAGTTTCTGAGAATGCTTCCGTTTAGCTTTTAGGTGAAGATTATCCCGTTTCCAACGAAACCTTCAAAGAGGTCCAAATATCCCCTTGCGGATCCCACAGAAAGAGTGTTTCGAAACTGCTGTTTCAAAAGGAATCTTCAACTCTGTGAGTTGAATGCAATCATCACAAAGAAGTTTCTGACAATGCTTCTCTCTCGTCTTTCTGTGAAGATAAATAAATGCTTTCAGGCCTTTGCCACCACAGGCCTGAAAGCGCTCCAAATGTCCACTTGCAGATTCTGCCAAAAGAATATTTCAAAACTGCTTTGTGAAAAGCAATGTTAAACTCTGTGGCTCGAACACAAACATCACAAAGCGGTTTCTGAGAATGCTTCAGTTTAGTTTTTCTGTGGAAATATTCCCGTTTCCAAAGAAATCTTCAAAGAGGTCCACGTATCCACTTACAGATTCTACAAAAAGACAGTTTCAAAACTGCTCCATCAAAAGGAGGGTTCAACTGTGTGACTTGAATGCAATCATCACTCAGAAGTTTCTGAGAATGCTTCTCTTTAGTTTTTACGTGAACATATACCCGTTTCGAACGAAGGCCACCCAGTGGTCCAAATATCCACTTGCAGATTCTACAGAAAGAGTGTTTCGAACCTGAACTCTCAAAGGCAGGTTCATCTCTGCGAGTTAAATGCATTCATCATGAAGAACTTTCTCAGAGTGTTTGTGTTTAGTTATGGGAAATTATTCCCGTTTCCAACGAAATCCTCAGAGAGCTCCAAATATCCACCTGCAGATTCTACCAAAAGTGTATTTGGAAACTGCTCCATCAAAAGGCATGTTCAGCTCTGTGAGTGAAACTCCATCATCACAAAGAATATTCTGAGAATGCTTCCGTTTGCCTTTTATATGAAGTTCCTTCCTATACGACCGTAGGCCTCAAAGCAGTCCAAATCTCCATTTGCAGATTCTACAAAAAGAGTGATTCCAATCTGCTCTATCAATAGGATTGTTCAACTCCATGAGTTGAATGCCATCCTCACAAAGTCGTTTCTGAGAATGCTTCTATCTAGTTTTTATGTGAAGATATTTCCTTTTCCACCACAGGCCTCAAAGCCCTCCAAGCGTCCACTTGCAGATTCTCGAAAAAGAGTGTTTCATAGCTGCTCTTTCAAAAGGAAAGTTCAACTCTGGCAGTTGAATACAAACATCACAAAGTAGTTTCCGAGAATGCTTCTGTTTAGTTTTTATGTGAAGATGATCCCGTTTCCAGTGAAATCTTCAAAGAGGTCCACATATCCCCTTGCAGATTCCAAAGAAAGAGGGTTTCAAAACTGCTCCATCAGAAGGATTGTTCAACTCTGTGAGTTGAATGCAGTCATCGCAGAAAACTTTCTGAGAATGCTTCTGTCTAGGTTTGATGTGAAGATATAGACGTTTCAAACGAAGGCTACAAAGTGGTCAAAATATACACTTGCAGATTCTACTACAAGGGTGTTGCAAACCTGAACTATCAAAGGAAGGTTCAACTCTGTGAGTTGAATACAAACATCACAAAGAATGTTCTGAGTTTGCTTCCGTTCAGTTATGGGAAGTTGATCCCGTTTCCAACGAAATCCTCAGAGAGGTCCAAATATCCCCTCGCAGATTCTACAAAACGTGTGTTTGGAAACTGCTCCATCATAACGAATGTTCAGCTCCATGAGTTAAACTCCATCGTCACAAAGAATTTTCTGAGAGTGCTACCGTCTGGTTTTTATATGAAGTTCTTTCCTTCACTACCACAGGCCTCAAAGCGGTCCAAATCTCCACTTGCAGATTCTACAAAAAGAGTGTTTGCAAACTGCTCTATCAAAAGGAATGTTCAACTCTGGGAGTTGAATGCAATCATCACAGAGCAGTTTCTGAGAATGCTTCTATGTCGTTTTTAGGAGAAGATATTTCCTTTTCCAACACAGTCCTCCAAGCCCGCTAAATAGCCACTTGCACATTGTAGAAAAAGTGTGTCAAAGCTGCGCTATCAAAGGGAAAGTTCAACTCTGTGAGGTGAATGCAAACATCCCAAAGAAGTTTCTGAGAATGCTTCCGTTTAGCTTTTAGGTGAAGATTATCCCGTTTCCAACGAAACCTTCAAAGAGGTCCAAATATCCCCTTGCGGATCCCACAGAAAGAGTGTTTCGAAACTGCTGTTTCAAAAGGAATCTTCAACTCTGTGAGTTGAATGCAATCATCACAAAGAAGTTTCTGACAATGCTTCTCTCTCGTCTTTCTGTGAAGATAAAGGAAAAGGCTTTCAGGCCTTTTCCACCACAGGCCTGAAAGCGCTCCAAATGTCCACTTGCAGATTCTGCCAAAAGAATATTTCAAAACTGCTCTATGAAAAGCAATGTTAAACTCTGTGGCTCGAACACAAACATCACAAAGCGGTTTCTGAGAATGCTTCAGTTTAGTTTTTCTGTGGAAATATTCCCGTTTCCAAAGAAATCTTCAAAGAGGTCCACGTATCCACTTACAGATTCTACAAAAAGACAGTTTCAAAACTGCTCCATCAAAACGAGGGTTCAACTGTGTGACTTGAATGCAATCATCACTCAGAAGTTTCTGAGAATGCTTCTCTTTAGTTTTTACGTGAACATATACCCGTTTCGAACGAAGGCCACCCAGTGGTCCAAATATCCACTTGCAGATTCTACAGAAAGAGTGTTTCGAACCTGAACTCTCAAAGGCAGGTTCATCTCTGCGAGTTAAATGCATTCATCATGAAGAACTTTCTTCAGAGTGTTTGTGTTTAGTTATGGGAAATTATTCCCGTTTCCAACGAAATCCTCAGAGAGCTCCAAATATCCACCTGCAGATTCTACCAAAAGTGTATTTGGAAACTGCTCCATCAAAAGGCATGTTCAGCTCTGTGAGTGAAACTCCATCATCACAAAGAATATTCTGAGAATGCTTCCGTTTGCCTTTTATATGAAGTTCCTTCCTGTACTACCGTAGGCCTCAAAGCAGTCCAAATCTCCATTTGCAGATTCTATAAAAAGAGTGATTCCAATCTGCTCTATCAATAGGATTGTTCAACTCCATGAGTTGAATGCCATCCTCACAAAGTAGTTTCTGAGAATGCTTCTATCTGGTTTTTGTGTGAAGATGTTTCCTTTTCCACCACAGGCCTCAAAGCCCTCCAAACGTCCACTTGCAGATTCTCGAAAAAGAGTGTTTCATAGCTGCTCTTTCAAAAGGAAAGTTCAACTCTTTGAGTTGAATACAAACATCACAAAGTAGTTTCCGAGAATGCTTCTGTTTAGTTTTTATGTGAAGATGATCCCGTTTCCAGTGAAATCTTCAAAGAGGTCCACATATCCCCTTGCAGATTCCAAAGAAAGAGGGTTTCAAAACTGCTCCATCAGAAGGATTGTTCAACTCTGTGAGTTGAATGCAGTCATCGCAGAAAACTTTCTGAGAATGCTTCTGTCTAGGTTTGATGTGAAGATATAGACGTTTCAAACGAAGGCTACAAAGTGGTCAAAATATACACTTGCAGATTCTACTACAAGGGTGTTGCAAACCTGAACTATCAAAGGAAGGTTCAACTCTGTGAGTTGAATACAAACATCGCAAAGAATGTTCTGAGTTTGCTTCCATTCAGTTATGGGAAGTTGATCCCGTTTCCAACGAAATCCTCAGAGAGGTCCAAATATCCCCTTGCAGATTCTACAAAACGTGTGTTTGGAAACTGCTCCATCATAACGAATGTTCAGCTCCCTGAGTTAAACTCCATCGTCACAAAGAATTTTCTGAGAGTGCTACCGTCTGGTTTTTATATGAAGTTCTTTCCTTCACTACCACAGACCTCAAAGCGGTCCAAATCTCCACTTGCAGATTCTACAAAAAGAGTGTTTGCAAACTGCTCTATCAAAAGGAATGTTCAACTCTGGGAGTTGAATGCAATCATCACAGAGCAGTTTCTGAGAATGCTTCTATGTCGTTTTTAGGAGAAGATATTTCCTTTTCCAACACAGTCCTCCAAGCCCGCTAAATAGCCACTTGCACATTGTAGAAAAAGTGTGTCAAAGCTGCGCTATCAAAGGGAAAGTTCAACTCTGTGAGGTGAATGCAAACATCCCAAAGAAGTTTCTGAGAATGCTTCCGTTTAGCTTTTAGGTGAAGATTATCCCGTTTCCAACGAAACCTTCAAAGAGGTCCAAATATCCCCTTGCGGATCCCACAGAAAGAGTGTTTCGAAACTGCTGTTTCAAAAGGAATCTTCAACTCTGTGAGTTGAATGCAATCATCACAAAGAAGTTTCTGACAATGCTTCTCTCTCGTCTTTCTGTGAAGATAAAGGAAAAGGCTTTCAGGCCTTTGCCACCACAGGCCTGAAAGCGCTCCAAATGTCCACTTGCAGATTCTGCCAAAAGAATATTTCAAAACTGCTCTATGAAAAGCAATGTTAAACTCTGCGGCTCGAACACAAACATCACAAAGCGGTTTCTGAGAATGCTTCAGTTTAGTTTTTCTGTGGAAATATTCCCGTTTCCAAAGAAATCTTCAAAGAGGTCCACGCATCCACTTACAGATTCTACAAAAAGACAGTTTCAAAACTGCTCCATCAAAAGGAGGGTTCAACTGTGTGACTTGAATGCAATCATCACTCAGAAGTTTCTGAGAATGCTTCTCTTTAGTTTTTACGTGAACATATACCCGTTTCGAACGAAGGCCACCCAGTGGTCCAAATATCCACTTGCAGATTCTACAGAAAGAGTGTTTCGAACCTGAACTCTCAAAGGCAGGTTCATCTCTGCGAGTTAAATGCATTCATCATGAAGAACTTTCTCAGAGTGTTTGTGTTTAGTTATGGGAAATTATTCCCGTTTCCAACGAAATCCTCAGAGAGCTCCAAATATCCACCTGCAGATTCTACCAAAAGTGTATTTGGAAACTGCTCCATCAAAAAGCATGTTCAGCTCTGTGAGTGAAACTCCATCATCACAAAGAATATTCTGAGAATGCTTCCGTTTGCCTTTTATATGAAGTTCCTTCCTGTACTACCGTAGGCCTCAAAGCAGTCCAAATCTCCATTTGCAGATTCTATAAAAAGAGTGATTCCAATCTGCTCTATCAATAGGATTGTTCAACTCCATGAGTTGAATGCCATCCTCACAAAGTAGTTTCTGAGAATGCTTCTATCTGGTTTTTGTGTGAAGATATTTCCTTTTCCACCACAGGCCTCAAAGCCCTCCAAACGTCCACTTGCAGATTTTCGAAAAAGAGTGTTTCATAGCTGCTCTTTCAAAAGGAAAGTTCAACTCTGGGAGTTGAATACAAACATCACAAAGTAGTTTCCGAGAATGCTTCTGTTTAGTTTTTATGTGAAGATGATCCCGTTTCCAGTGAAATCTTCAAAGAGGTCCACATATCCCCTTGCAGATTCCAAAGAAAGAGGGTTTCAAAACTGCTCCATCAGAGGATTGTTCAACTCTGTGAGTTGAATGCAGTCATCGCAGAAAACTTTCTGAGAATGCTTCTGTCTAGGTTTGATGTGAAGATATAGACGTTTCAAACGAAGGCTACAAAGTGGTCAAAATATACACTTGCAGATTCTACTACAAGGGTGTTGCAAACCTGAACTATCAAAGGAAGGTTCAACTCTGTGAGTTGAATACAAACATCACAAAGAATGTTCTGAGTTTGCTTCCGTTCAGTTATGGGAAGTTGATCCCGTTTCCAACGAAATCCTCAGAGAGGTCCAAATATCCCCTCGCAGATTCTACAAAACGTGTGTTTGGAAACTGCTCCATCATAACGAATGTTCAGCTCCCTGAGTTAAACTCCATCGTCACAAAGAATTTTCTGAGAGTGCTACCGTCTGGTTTTTATATGAAGTTCTTTCCTTCACTACCACAGGCCTCAAAGCGGTCCAAATCTCCACTTGCAGATTCTACA
Organism: Homo sapiens; assembly: GCF_000001405.40. Taxonomy (NCBI): domain Eukaryota; kingdom Metazoa; phylum Chordata; class Mammalia; order Primates; family Hominidae; genus Homo; species Homo sapiens. The sequence continues at coordinate 60,361,858 of NC_000023.11, read as the reverse complement.
AAAAGAGTGTTTGCAAACTGCTCTATCAAAAGGAATGTTCAACTCTGGGAGTTGAATGCAATCATCACAGAGCAGTTTCTGAGAATGCTTCTATGTCGTTTTTAGGAGAAGATATTTCCTTTTCCAACACAGTCCTCCAAGCCCGCTAAATAGCCACTTGCACATTGTAGAAAAAGTGTGTCAAAGCTGCGCTATCAAAGGGAAAGTTCAACTCTGTGAGGTGAATGCAAACATCCCAAAGAAGTTTCTGAGAATGCTTCCGTTTAGCTTTTAGGTGACGATTATCCAGTTTCCAACGAAACCTTCAAAGAGATCCAAATATCCCCTTGCGGATCCCACAGAAAGAGTGTTTCGAAACTGCTGTTTCAAAAGGAATCTTCAACTCTGTGAGTTGAATGCAATCATCACAAAGAAGTTTCTGACAATGCTTCTCTCTCGTCTTTCTGTGAAGATAAAGGAAAAGGCTTTCAGGCCTTTTCCACCACAGGCCTGAAAGCGCTCCAAATGTCCACTTGCAGATTCTGCCAAAAGAATATTTCAAAACTGCTCTATGAAAAGCAATGTTAAACTCTGCGGCTCGAACACAAACATCACAAAGCAGTTTCTGAGAATGCTTCAGTTTAGTTTTTCTGTGGAAATATTCCCGTTTCCAAAGAAATCTTCAAAGAGGTCCACGCATCCACTTACAGATTCTACAAAAAGACAGTTTCAAAACTGCTCAATCAAAAGGAGGGTTCAACTGTGTGACTTGAATGCATTCATCACTCAGAAGTTTCTGAGAACGCTTCTCTTTAGTTTTTACGTGAACATATACCCGTTTCGAACGAAGGCCAGCCAGTGGTCCAAATATCCACTTGCAGATTCTACAGAAAGAGTGTTTCGAACCTGAACTCTCAAAGGCAGGTTCATCTCTGCGAGTTCAATGCATTCTAAATGAAGAACTTTCTCAGAGTGTTTTGTGTTTAGTTATGGGAAATTATTCCCGTTTCCAACGAAATCCTCAGAGAGCTCCAAATATCCACCTGCAGATTCTACCAAAAGTGTATTTGGAAACTGCTCCATCAAAAGGCATGTTCAGCTCTGTGAGTGAAACTCCATCATCACAAAGAATATTCTGAGAATGCTTCCGTTTGCCTTTTATATGAAGTTCCTTCCTATACTACCGTAGGCCTCAAAGCAGTCCAAATCTCCATTTGCAGATTCTACAAAAAGAGTGATTCCAATCTGCTCTATCAATAGGATTGTTCAACTCCATGAGTTGAATGCCATCCTCACAAAGTCGTTTCTGAGAATGCTTCTATTCTAGTTTTTATGTGAAGATATTTCCTTTTCCACCACAGGCCTCAAAGCCCTCCAAACGTCCACTTGCAGATTCTCGAAAAAGAGTGTTTCATAGCTGCTCTTTCAAAAGGAAAGTTCAACTCTGGGAGTTGAATACAAACATCACAAAGTAGTTTCCGAGAATGCTTCTGTTTAGTTCTTATGTGAAGATGATCCCGTTTCCAGTGAAATCTTCAAAGAGGTCCACATATCCCCTTGCAGATTCCAAAGAAAGAGGGTTTCAAAACTGCTCCATCAAAAGGATTGTTCAACTCTGTGAGTTGAATGCAGTCATCGCAGAAAACTTTCTGAGAATGCTTCTGTCTAGGTTTGATGTGAAGATATAGACGTTTCAAACGAAGGCTACAAAGTGGTCAAAATATACACTTGCAGATTCTACTACAAGGGTGATGCAAACCTCAACTATCAAAGGAAGGTTCAACTCTGTGAGATGAATGCAACCATCACAAAAAATGTTCTGAGTTTGCTTCCGTTCAGTTATGGGAAATTGATACCGTTTCCAACGAAATCCTCAGAGAGGTCCAAATATCCCCTTGCAGATTCTACAAAACGTGTGTTTGGAAACTGCTCCATCATAACGAATGTTCAGCTCTCTGAGTTAAACTCCATCGTCACAAAGAATTTTCTGAGAGTGCTACCGTCTAGTTTTTATATGAAGTTCTTTCCTTTACTACCACAGGCCTCAAAGCGGTCCAAATCTCCACTTGCAGATTCTACAAAAAGAGTGTTTGCAAACTGCTCTATCAAAAGGAATGTTCAACTCTGGGAGTTGAAAGCAATCATCACAGAGCAGTTTCTGAGAATGCTTCTATGTCGTTTTTAGGAGAAGATATTTCCTTTTCCAACACAGTCCTCCAAGCCCGCTAAATATCCACTTGCACATTGTAGAAAAAGTGTGTCGAAGCTGCGCTATCAAAGGGAAAGTTCAACTCTGTGAGGTGAATGCAAACATCCCAAAGAAGTTTCTGAGAATGCTTCCGTTTAGCTTTTAGGTGAAGATTATCCCGTTTCCAACGAAATCTTCAAAGAGGTCCAAATATCCCCTTGCGGATCCCACAGAAAGAGTGTTTCGAAACTGCTGTTTCAAAAGGAATCTTCAACTCTGTGAGTTGAATGCAATCATCACAAAGAAGTTTCTGACAATGCTTCTCTCTCGTCTTTCTGTGAAGATAAAGGAAAAGGCTTTCAGGCCTTTTCCACCACAGGCCTGAAAGCGCTCCAAATGTCCACTTGCAGATTCTGCCAAAAGAATATTTCAAAACTGCTCTATGAAAAGCAATGTTAAACTCTGTGGCTCGAACACAAACATCACAAAGCCGTTTCTGAGAATGCTTCAGTTTAGTTTTTCTGTGGAAATATTCCCGTTTCCAAAGAAATCTTCAAAGAGGTCCACGCATCCACTTACAGATTCTACAAAAAGACAGTTTCAAAACTGCTCAATCAAAAGGAGGGTTCAACTGTGTGACTTGAATGCAATCATCACTCAGAAGTTTCTGAGAACGCTTCTCTTTAGTTTTTACGTGAACATATACCCGTTTCGAACGAAAGCCAGCCAGTGGTCCAAATATCCACTTGCAGATTCTACAGAAAGAGTGTTTCGAACCTGAACTCTAAAAGGCAGGTTCATCTCTGCGAGTTAAATGCATTCATCATGAAGAACTTTCTCAGCGTGTTTGTGTTTAGTTATGGGAAATTATTCCCGTTTCCAACGAAATCCTCAGAGAGGTCCAAATATCCACCTGCAGATTCTACCAAAAGTGTATTTGGAAACTGCTCCATCAAAAGGCATGTTCAGCTCTGTGAGTGAAACTCCATCATCACACAGAATATTCTGAGAATGCTTCCGTTTGCCTTTTATATGAAGTTCCTTCCTATACTACCGTAGGCCTCAAAGCAGTCCAAATCTCCATTTGCAGATTCTACAAAAAGAGTGATTCCAATCTGCTCTATCAATAGGATTGTTCAACTCCATGAGTTGAATGCCATCCTCACAAAGTCGTTTCTGAGAATGCTTCTATCTAGTTTTTATGTGAAGATATTTCCTTTTCCACCACAGGCCTCAAAGCCCTCCAAACGTCCACTTGCAGATTCTCGAAAAAGAGTGTTTCATAGCTGCTCTTAAAAAAGGAAAGTTCAACTCTGGGAGTTGAATACAAACATCACAAAGTAGTTTCCGAGAATGCTTCTGTTTAGTTTTTATGTGAAGATGATCCCGTTTCCAGTGAAATCTTCAAAGAGGTCCACATATCCCCTTGCAGATTCCAAAGAAAGAGGGTTTCAAAACTGCTCCATCAATAGGATTGTTCAACTCTGTGAGTTGAATGCTGTCATCGCAGAAAACTTTCTGAGAATGCTTCTGTCTAGGTTTGATGTGAAGATATAGACGTTTCAAACGAAGGCTACAAAGTGGTCAAAATATACACTTGCAGATACTACTACAAGGGTGTTGCAAACCTGAACTATCAAAGGAAGGTTCAACTCTGTGAGTTGAATACAAACATCACAAAGAATGTTCTGAGTTTGCTTCCGTTCAGTTATGGGAAGTTGATCCCGTTTCCAACGAAATCCTCAGAGAGGTCCAAATATCCCCTTGCAGATTCTACAAAACGTGTTTTTGGAAACTGCTCCATCATAACGAATGTTCAGCTCCCTGAGTTAAACTCCATCGTCACAAAGAATTTTCTGAGAGTGCTACCGTCTGGTTTTTATATGAAGCTCTTTCCTTTACTACCCCAGGCCTCAAAGCGGTCAAAATCTCCACTTGCAGATTCTACAAAAAGAGTGTTTGCAAACTGCTCTATCAAAAGGAATGTTCAACTCTGGGAGTTGAATGCAATCATCACAGAGCAGTTTCTGAGAATGCTTCTATGTCGTTTTTAGGAGAAGATATTTCCTTTTCCAACACATTCCTCCAAGTCCGCTAAATAGCCACTTGCACATTGTAGAAAAAGTGTGTCAAAGCTGCGCTATCAAAGGGAAAGTTCAACTCTGAGAGGTGAATGCAAACATCCCAAAGAAGTTTCTGAGAGTGCTTCCGTTTAGCTTTTAGGTGAAGATTATCCCGTTTCCAACGAAACCTTCAAAGAAGTCCAAATATCCCCTTGCGGATCCCACAGAAAGAGTGTTTCGAAACTGCTGTTTCAAAAGGAATCTTCAACTCTGTGAGTTGAATGCAATCATCACAAAGAAGTTTCTGACAATGCTTCTCTCTCGTCTTTCTGTGAAGATAAATAAATGCTTTCAGGCCTTTGCCACCACAGGCCTGAAAGCGCTCCAAATGTCCACTTGCAGATTCTGCCAAAAGAATATTTCAAAACTGCTTTGTGAAAAGCAATGTTAAACTCTGTGGCTCGAACACAAACATCACAAAGCAGTTTCTGAGAATGCTTCAGTTTAGTTTTTCTGTGGAAATATTCCCGTTTCCAAAGAAATCTTCAAAGAGGTCCACGTATCCACTTACAGATTCTACAAAAAGACAGTTTCAAAACTGCTCCTTCAAAAGGAGGGTTCAACTGTGTGACTTGAATGCAATCATCACTCAGAAGTTTCTGAGAATGCTTCTCTTTAGTTTTTACGTGAACATATACCCGTTTCGAACGAAGGCCACCCAGTGGTCCAAATATCCACTTGCAGATTATACAGAAAGAGTGTTTCGAACCTGAACTCTCAAAGGCAGGTTCATCTCTGCGAGTTAAATGCATTCATCATGAAGAACTTTCTCAGAGTGTTTGTGTTTAGTTATGGGAAATTATTCCCGTTTCCAACGAAATCCTCAGAGAGCTCCAAATATCCACCTGCAGATTCTACCAAAAGTGTATTTGGAAACTGCTCCATCAAAAGGCATGTTCAGCTCTGTGAGTGAAACTCCATCATCACAAAGAATATTCTGAGAATGCTTCCGTTTGCCTTTTATATGAAGTTCCTTCCTGTACTACCGTAGGCCTCAAAGCAGTCCAAATCTCCATTTGCAGATTCTATAAAAAGAGTGATTCCAATCTGCTCTATCAATAGGATTGTTCAACTCCATGAGTTGAATGCCATCCTCACAAAGTCGTTTCTGAGAATGCTTCTATCTGGTTTTTGTGTGAAGATATTTCCTTTTCCACCACAGGCCTCAAAGCCCTCCAAACGTCCACTTGCAGATTCCCGAAAAAGAGTGTTTCATAGCTGCTCTTTCAAAAGGAAAGTTCAACTCTGGGAGTTGAATACAAACATCACAAAGTAGTTTCCGAGAATGCTTCTGTTTAGTTTTTATGTGAAGATGATCCCGTTTCCAGTGAAATCTTCAAAGAGGTCCACATATCCCCTTGCAGATTCCAAAGAAAGAGGGTTTCAAAACTGCTCCATCAGAAGGATTGTTCAACTCTGTGAGTTGAATGCAGTCATCGCAGAAAACTTTCTGAGAATGCTTCTGTCTAGGTTTGATGTGAAGATATAGACGTTTCAAACGAAGGCTACAAAGTGGTCAAAATATACACTTGCAGATTCTACTACAAGGGTGTTGCAAACCTGAACTATCAAAGGAAGGTTCAACTCTGTGAGTTGAATACAAACATCACAAAGAATGTTCTGAGTTTGCTTCCGTTCAGTTATGGGAAGTTGATCCCGTTTCCAACGAAATCCTCAGAGAGGTCCAAATATCCCCTCGCAGATTCTACAAAACGTGTGTTTGGAAACTGCTCCATCATAAAGAATGTTCAGCTCCCTGAGTTAAACTCCATCGTCACAAAGAATTTTCTGAGAGTGCTACCGTCTGGTTTTTATATGAAGTTCTTTCCTTCACTACGACAGGCCTCAAAGCGGTCCAAATCTCCACTTGCAGATTCTACAAAAAGAGTGTTTGCAAACTGCTCTATCAAAAGGAATGTTCAACTCTAGGAGTTGAATGCAATCATCACAGAGCAGTTTCTGAGAATGCTTCTATGTCGTTTTTAGGAGAAGATATTTCCTTTTCCAACACAGTCCTCCAAGCCCGCTAAATAGCCACTTGCACATTGTAGAAAAAGTGTGTCAAAGCTGCGCTATCAAAGGGAAAGTTCAACTCTGTGAGGTGAATGCAAACATCCCAAAGAAGTTTCTGAGAATGCTTCCGTTTAGCTTTTAGGTGAAGATTATCCCGTTTCCAACGAAACCTTCAAAGAGGTCCAAATATCCCCTTGCGGATCCCACAGAAAGAGTGTTTCAAAACTGCTGTTTCAAAAGGAATCTTCAACTCTGTGAGTTGAATGCAATCATCACAAAGAAGTTTCTGACAATGCTTCTCTCTCGTCTTTCTGTGAAGATAAAGGAAAAGGCTTTCAGGCCTTTTCCACCACAGGCCTGAAAGCGCTCCAAATGTCCACTTGCAGATTCTGCCAAAAGAATATTTCAAAACTGCTCTATGAAAAGCAATGTTAAACTCTGTGGCTCGAACACAAACATCACAAAGCAGTTTCTGAGAATGCTTCAGTTTAGTTTTTCTGTGGAAATATTCCCGTTTTCAAAGAAATCTTCAAAGAGGTCCACGTATCCACTTACAGATTCTACAAAAAGACAGTTTCAAAACTGCTCCATCAAAAGGAGGGTTCAACTGTGTGACTTGAATGCAATCATCACTCAGAAGTTTCTGAGAATGCTTCTCTTTAGTTTTTACGTGAACATATACCCGTTTCGAACGAAGGCCACCCAGTGGTCCAAATATCCACTTGCAGATTCTACAGAAAGAGTGTTTCGAACCTGAACTCTCAAAGGCAGGTTCATCTCTGCAAGTTAAATGCATTCATCATGAAGAACTTTCTCAGAGTGTTTGTGTTTAGTTATGGGAAATTATTCCCGTTTCCAACGAAATCCTCAGAGAGCTCCAAATATCCACCTGCTGATTCTACCAAAAGTGTATTTGGAAACTGCTCCATCAAAAGGCATGTTCAGCTCTGTGAGTGAAACTCCATCATCACAAAGAATATTCTGAGAATGCTTCCGTTTGCCTTTTATCTGAAGTTCCTTCCTATACGACCGTAGGCCTCAAAGCAGTCCAAATCTCCATTTGCAGATTCTACAAAAAGAGTGATTCCAATCTGCTCTATCAATAGGATTGTTCAACTCCATGAGTTGAATGCCATCCTCACAAAGTAGTTTCTGAGAATGCTTCTATCTAGTTTTTATGTGAAGATATTTCCTTTTCCACCACAGGCCTCAAAGCCCTCCAAACGTCAACTTGCAGATTCTCGAAAAAGAGTGTTTCATAGCCGCTCTTTCAAAAGGAAAGTTCAACTCTGGGAGTTGAATACAAACATCACAAAGTAGTTTCCGAGAATGCTTCTGTTTAGTTCTTATGTGAAGATGATCCCGTTTCCAGTGAAATCTTCAAAGAGGTCCACATATCCCCTTGCAGATTCCAAAGAAAGAGGGTTTCAAAACTGCTCCATCGAAAGGATTGTTCAACTCTGTGAGTTGAATGCAGTCATCGCAGAAAACTTTCTGAGAATGCTTCTGTCTAGGTTTGAGGTGAAGATATAGACGTTTCAAACGAAGGCTACAAAGTGGTCAAAATATACACTTGCAGATTCTACTACAAGGGTGTTGCAAACCTGAACTATCAAAGGAAGGTTCAACTCTGTGAGTTGAATACAAACATCACAAAGAATGTTCTGAGTTTGCTTCCGTTCAGTTATGGGAAGTTGATCCCATTTCCAACGAAATCCTCAGAGAGGTCCAAATATCCCCTTGCAGATTCTACAAAACGTGTGTTTGGAAACTGCTCCATCATAAAGAATGTTCAGCTCTCTGAGTTTAACTCCATCGTCACAAAGAATTTTCTGAGAGTGCTACCGTCTGGTTTTTATATGAAGTTCTTTCCTTTACTACCACAGGCCTCAAAGCGGTCCAAATCTCCACTTGCAGATTCTACAAAAAGAGTGTTTGCAAACTGCTCTATCATTAGGAATGTTCAACTCTGGGAGTTGAATGCAATCATCACAGAGCAGTTTCTGAGAATGCTTCTATGTCGTTTTTAGGAGAAGATATTTCCTTTTCCAACACAGTCCTCCAAGCCCACTAAATATCCACTTGCACATTGTAGAAAAAGTGTGTCGAAGCTGCGCTATCAAAGGGAAAGTTCAACTCTGTGAGGTGAATGCAAACATCCCAAAGAAGTTTCTGAGAATGCTTCCGTTTAGCTTTTAGGTGAAGATTATCCCGTTTCCAACGAAATCTTCAAAGAGGTCCAAATATCCCCTTGCGGATCCCACAGAAAGAGTGTTTCGAAACTGCTGTTTCAAAAGGAATCTTCAACTCTGTGACTTGAATGCAATCATCACAAAGAAGTTTCTGACAATGCTTCTCTCTCGTCTTTCTGTGAAGATAAAGGAAAAGGCTTTCAGGCCTTTTCCCACCACAGGCCTGAAAGCGCTCCAAATGTCCACTTGCAGATTCTGTGAAAAGAATATTGCAAAACTGCTCTATGAAAAGCAATGTTAAACTCTGTGGCTCGAACACAAACATCACAAAGCAGTTTCTGAGAATGCTTCAGTATAGTTTTTCTGTGGAAATATTCCCGTTTCCAAAGAAATCTTCAAAGAGGTCCACGCATCCACTTACAGATTCCACAAAAAGACAGTTTCAAAACTGCTCAATCAAAAGGAGGGTTCAACTGTGTGACTTGAATGCAATCATCACTCAGAAGTTTCTGAGAATGCTTCTCTTTAGTTTTTACGTGAACATATACCCGTTTCGAACGAAGGCCAGCCAGTGGTCCAAATATCCACTTGTAGATTCTACAGAAAGAGTGTTTCGAACCTGAACTCTCAAAGGCAGGTTCATCTCTGCGAGTTAAATGCATTCATCATGAAGAACTTTCTCAGCGTGTTTGTGTTTAGTTATGGGAAATTATTCCCGTTTCCAACGAAATCCTCAGAGAGGTCCAAATATCCACCTGCAGATTCTACGAAAAGTGTATTTCGAAACTGCTCCATGAAAAGGCATGTTCAGCTCTGTGAGTGGAACTCCATCATCACAAAGAATATTCTGAGAATGCTTCCGTTTGCCTTTTATATGAAGTTCCTTCCTATACTACCGTAGGTCTCAAAGCAGTCCAAATCTCCATTTGCAGATTCTACAAAAAGAGTGATTCCAATCTGCTCTATCAATAGGATTGTTCAACTCCATGAGTTGAATGCCATCCTCACAAAGTAGTTTCTGAGAATGCTTCTATCTAGTTTTTATGTGAAGATATTTCCTTTTCCACCACAGGCCTCAAAGCCCTCCAAACGTCCACATGCAGATTCTCGAAAAAGAGTGTTTCATAGCTGCTCTTTCAAAAGGAAAGTTCAACTCTGGGAGGTGAATACAAACATCACAAAGTAGTTTCCGAGAATGCTTCTGTTTAGTTCTTATGTGAAGATGATCCCGTTTCCAGTGAAATCTTCAAAGAGGTCCACATATCCCCTTGCAGATTCCAAAGAAAGAGGGTTTCAAAACTGCTCCATCAAAAGGATTGTTCAACTCTGTGAGTTGAATGCAGTCATCGCAGAAAACTTTCTGAGAATGCTTCTGTCTAGGTTTGATGTGAAGATATAGACGTTTCAAACGAAGGCTACAAAGTGGTCAAAATATACACTTGCAGATTCTACTACAAGGGTGATGCAAACCTGAACTATCAAAGGAAGGTTCAACTCTGTGAGTTGAATACAAACATCACAAAGAATGTTCTGAGTTTGCTTCCGTTCAGTTATGGGAAGTTGATCCCGTTTCCAACGAAATCCTCAGAGAGGTCCAAATATCCCCTTGCAGATTCTACAAAACGTGTGTTTGGAAACTGCTCCATCATAACGAATGTTCAGCTCTCTGAGTTAAACTCCATCGTCACAAACAATTTTCTGAGACTGCTACCGTCTAGTTTTATATGAAGTTCTTTCCTTTACTACCACCGGCCTCAAAGCGGTCCAAATCTCCACTTGCAGATTCTACAAAAAGAGTGTTTGCAAACTGCTCTATCAAAAGGAATGTTCAACTCTGGGAGTTGAATGCAATCATCACAGAGCAGTTTCTGAGAATGCTTCTATGTCGTTTTTAGGAGAAGATATTTCCTTTTCCAACACAGTCCTCTAAGCCCGCTAAATAGCCACTTGCACATTGTAGAAAAAGTGTGTCAAAGCTGCGCTATCAAAGGGAAAGTTCAACTCTGTGAGGTGAATGCAAACATCCCAAAGAAGTTTCTGAGAATGCTTCCGTTTAGCTTTTAGGTGAAGATTATCCCGTTTCCAACGAAACCTTCAAAGAGGTCCAAATATCCCCTTGCGGATCCCACAGAAAGAGTGTTTCGAAACTGCTGTTTCAAAAGGAATCTTCAACTCTGTGAGTTGAATGCAATCATCACAAAGAAGTTTCTGACAATGCTTCTCTCTCGTCTTTCTGTGAAGATAAAGGAAAAGGCTTTCAGGCCTTTTCCACCACAGGCCTGAAAGCGCTCCAAATGTCCACTTGCAGATTCTGCCAAAAGAATATTTCAAAACTGCTCTATGAAAAGCAATGTTAAACTCTGTGGCTCGAACACAAACATCACAAAGCAGTTTCTGAGAATGCTTCAGTTTAGTTTTTCTGTGGAAATATTCCCGTTTCCAAAGAAATCTTCAAAGAGGTCCACGTATCCACTTACAGATTCTACAAAAAGACAGTTTCAAAACTGCTCCATCAAAAGGAGGGTTCAACTGTGTGACTTGAATGCAATCATCACTCAGAAGTTTCTGAGAATGCTTCTCTTTAGTTTTTACGTGAACATATACCCGTTTCGAACGAAGGCCAGCCAGTGGTCCAAATATCCACTTGCAGATTCTACAGAAAGAGTGTTTCGAACCTGAACTCTCAAAGGCAGGTTCATCTCTGCGAGTTAAATGCATTCATCATGAAGAACTTTCTCAGAGTGTTTGTGTTTAGTTATGGGAAATTATTCCCGTTTCCAACGAAATCCTCAGAGAGCTCCAAATATCCACCTGCAGATTCTACCAAAAGTGTATTTGGAAACTGCTCCATCAAAAGGCATGTTCAGCTCTGTGAGTGAAACTCCATCATCACAAAGAATATTCTGAGAATGCTTCCGTTTGCCTTTTATATGAAGTTCCTTCCTATACTACCGTAGGCCTCAAAGCAGTCCAAATCTCCATTTGCAGATTCTACAAAAAGAGTGATTCCAATCTGCTCTATCAATAGGATTGTTCAACTCCATGAGTTGAATGCCATCCTCACAAAGTAGTTTCTGAGAATGCTTCTATCTAGTTTTTATGTGAAGATATTTCCTTTTCCACCACAGGCCTCAAAGCCCTCCAAACGTCCACTTGCAGATTCTCGAAAAAGAGTGTTTCATAGCTGCTCTTTCAAAAGGAAAGTTCAACTCTGGGAGTTGAATACAAACATCCCAAAGTAGTTTCCGAGAATGCTTCTGTTTAGTTTTTATGTGAAGATGATCCCGTTTCCAGTGAAATCTTCAAAGAGGTCCACATATCCCCTTGCAGATTCCAAAGAAAGAGGGTTTCAAAACTGCTCCATCAGAAGGATTGTTCAACTCTGTGAGTTGAATGCAGTCATCGCAGAAAACTTTCTGAGAATGCTTCTGTCTAGGTTTGATGTGAAGATATAGACGTTTCAAACGAAGGCTACAAAGTGGTCAAAATATACACTTGCAGATTCTACTACAAGGGTGTTGCAAACCTGAACTATCAAAGGAAGGTTCAACTCTGTGAGTTGAATACAAACGTCACAAAGAATGTTCTGAGTTTGCTTCCGTTCAGTTATGGGAAGTTGATCCCGTTTCCAACGAAATCCTCAGAGAGGTCCAAATATCCCCTCGCAGATTCTACAAAACGTGTGTTTGGAAACTGCTCCATCATAACGAATGTTCAGCTCCCTGAGTTAAACTCCATCGTCACAAAGAATTTTCTGAGAGTGCTACCGTCTGGTTTTTATATGAAGTTCTTTCCTTCACTACCACAGGCCTCAAAGCGGTCCAAATCTCCACTTGCAGATTCTACAAAAAGAGTGTTTGCAAACTGCTCTATCAAAAGGAATGTTCAACTCTGGGAGTTGAATGCAATCATCACAGAGCAGTTTCTGAGAATGCTTCTATGTCGTTTTTAGGAGAAGATATTTCCTTTTCCAACACAGTCCTCCAAGCCCGCTAAATAGCCACTTGCACATTGTAGAAAAAGTGTGTCAAAGCTGCGCTATCAAAGGGAAAGTTCAACTCTGTGAGGTGAATGCAAACATCCCAAAGAAGTTTCTGAGAATGCTTCCGTTTAGCTTTTAGGTGAAGATTATCCCGTTTCCAACGAAACCTTCAAAGAGGTCCAAATATCCCCTTGCGGATCCCACAGAAAGAGTGTTTCGAAACTGCTGTTTCAAAAGGAATCCTCAACTCTGTGAGTTGAATGCAATCATCACAAAGAAGTTTCTGACAATGCTTCTCTCTCGTCTTTCTGTGAAGATAAAGGAAAAGGCTTTCAGGCCTTTTCCACCACAGGCCTGAAAGCGCTCCAAATGTCCACTTGCAGATTCTGCCAAAAGAATATTTCAAAACTGCTCTATGAAAAGCAATGTTAAACTCTGCGGCTCGAACACAAACATCACAAAGCGGTTTCTGAGAATGCTTCAGTTTAGTTTTTCTGTGGAAATATTCCCGTTTCCAAAGAAATCTTCAAAGAGGTCCACGCATCCACTTACAGATTCTACAAAAAGACAGTTTCAAAACTGCTCCATCAAAAGGAGGGTTCAACCGTGTGACTTGAATGCAATCATCACTCAGAAGTTTCTGAGAATGCTTCTCTTTAGTTTTTACGTGAACATATACCCGTTTCGAACGAAGGCCACCCAGTGGTCCAAATATCCACTTGCAGATTATACAGAAAGAGTGTTTCGAACCTGAACTCTCAAAGGCAGGTTCATCTCTGCGAGTTAAATGCATTCATCATGAAGAACTTTCTCAGAGTGTTTGTGTTTAGTTATGGGAAATTATTCCCGTTTCCAACGAAATCCTCAGAGAGCTCCAAATATCCACCTGCAGATTCTACCAAAAGTGTATTTGGAAACTGCTCCATCAAAAGGCATGTTCAGCTCTGTGAGTGAAACTCCATCATCACAAAGAATATTCTGAGAATGCTTCCGTTTGCCTTTTATATGAAGTTCCTTCCTGTACTACCGTAGGCCTCAAAGCAGTCCAAATCTCCATTTGCAGATTCTACAAAAAGAGTGATTCCAATCTGCTCTATCAATAGGATTGTTCAACTCCATGAGTTGAATGCCATCCTCACAAAGTAGTTTCTGAGAATGCTTCTATCTGGTTTTTGTGTGAAGATATTTCCTTTTCCACCACAGGCCTCAAAGCCCTCCAAACGTCCACTTGCAGATTCTCGAAAAAGAGTGTTTCATAGCTGCTCTTTCAAAAGGAAAGTTCAACTCTGGGAGTTGAATACAAACATCACAAAGTAGTTTCCGAGAATGCTTCTGTTTAGTTTTTATGTGAAGATGATCCCGTTTCCAGTGAAATCTTCAAAGAGGTCCACATATCCCCTTGCAGATTCCAAAGAAAGAGGGTTTCAAAACTGCTCCATCAGAAGGATTGTTCAACTCTGTGAGTTGAATGCAGTCATCGCAGAAAACTTTCTGAGAATGCTTCTGTCTAGGTTTGATGTGAAGATATAGACGTTTCAAACGAAGGCTACAAAGTGGTCAAAATATACACTTGCAGATTCTACTACAAGGGTGTTGCAAACCTGAACTATCAAAGGAAGGTTCAACTCTGTGAGTTGAATACAAACATCACAAAGAATGTTCTGAGTTTGCTTCCGTTCAGTTATGGGAAGTTGATCCCGTTTCCAACGAAATCCTCAGAGAGGTCCAAATATCCCCTTGCAGATTCTACAAAACGTGTGTTTGGAAACTGCTCCATCATAACGAATGTTCAGCTCCCTGAGTTAAACTCCATCGTCACAAAGAATTTTCTGAGAGTGCTACCGTCTGGTTTTTATATGAAGTTCTTTCCTTCACTACCACAGGCCTCAAAGCGGTCCAAATCTCCACTTGCAGATTCTACAAAAAGAGTGTTTGCAAACTGCTCTATCAAAAGGAATGTTCAACTCTGGGAGTTGAATGCAATCATCACAGAGCAGTTTCTGAGAATGCTTCTATGTCGTTTTTAGGAGAAGATATTTCCTTTTCCAACACAGTCCTCCAAGCCCGCTAAATAGCCACTTGCACATTGTAGAAAAAGTGTGTCAAAGCTGCGCTATCAAAGGGAAAGTTCAACTCTGTGAGGTGAATGCAAACATCCCAAAGAAGTTTCTGAGAATGCTTCCGTTTAGCTTTTAGGTGAAGATTATCCCGTTTCCAACGAAACCTTCAAAGAGGTCCAAATATCCCCTTGCGGATCCCACAGAAAGAGTGTTTCGAAACTGCTGTTTGAAAAGGAATCTTCAACTCTGTGAGTTGAATGCAATCATCACAAAGAAGTTTCTGACAATGCTTCTCTCTCGTCTTTCTGTGAAGATAAAGGAAAAGGCTTTCAGGCCTTTTCCACCACAGGCCTGAAAGCGCTCCAAATGTCCACTTGCAGATTCTGCCAAAAGAATATTTCAAAACTGCTCTATGAAAAGCAATGTTAAACTCTGTCGCTCGAACACAAACATCACAAAGCAGTTTCTGAGAATGCTTCAGTTTAGTTTTTCTGTGGAAATATTCCCGTTTCCAAAGAAATCTTCAAAGAGGTCCACGTATCCACTTACAGATTCTACAAAAAGACAGTTTCAAAACTGCTCCATCAAAAGGAGGGTTCAACTGTGTGACTTGAATGCAATCATCACTCAGAAGTTTCTGAGAATGCTTCTCTTTAGTTTTTACGTGAACATATACCCGTTTCGAACGAACGCCACCCTGTGGTCCAAATATCCACTTGCAGATTCTACAGAAAGAGTGTTTCGAACCTGAACTCTCAAAGGCAGGTTCATCTCTGCGAGTTAAATGCATTCATCATCAAGAACTTTCTCAGAGTGTTTGTGTTTAGTTATGGGAAATTATTCCCGTTTCCAACGAAATCCTCAGAGAGCTCCAAATATCCACCTGCAGATTCTACCAAAAGTGTATTTGGAAACTGCTCCATCAAAAGGCATGTTCAGCTCTGTGAGTGAAACTCCATCATCACAAAGAATATTCTGAGAATGCTTCCGTTTGCCTTTTATATGAACTTCCTTCCTGTACTACCGTAGGCCTCAAAGCAGTCCAAATCTCCATTTGCAGATTCTACAAAAAGAGTGATTCCAATCTTCTCTATCAATAGGATTGTTCAACTCCATGAGTTGAATGCCATCCTCACAAAGTAGTTTCTGAGAATGCTTCTATCTGGTTTTTGTGTGAAGATATTTCCTTTTCCACCACAGGCCTCAAAGCCCTCCAAACGTCCACTTGCAGATTCTCGAAAAAGAGTGTTTCATAGCTGCTCTTTCAAAAGGAAAGTTCAACTCTGGCAGTTGAATACAAACATCACAAAGTAGTTTCAGAGAATGCTTTCTGTTTAGTTCTTATGTGAAGATGATCCCGTTTCCAGTGAAATCTTCAAAGTAGGTCCACATATCCCCTTGCAGATTCCAAAGAAAGAGGGTTTCAAAACTGCTCCATCAAAAGGATTGTTCAACTCTGTGAGTTGAATGCAGTCATCGCAGAAAACTTTCTGAGAATGCTTCTGTCTAGGTTTGATGTGAAGATATAGACGTTTCAAACGAAGGCTACACAGTGGTCAAAATATACACTTGCAGATTCTACTACAAGGGTGTTGCAAACCTGAACTATCAAAGGAAGGTTCAACTCTGTGAGTTGAATACAAACATCACAAAGAATGTTCTGAGTTTGCTTCCGTTCAGTTATGGGAAGTTGATCCCGTTTCCAACGAAATCCTCAGAGAGGTCCAAATATCCCCTTGCAGATTCTACAAAACGTGTGTTTGGAAACTGCTCCATCATAACGAATGTTCAGCTCCCTGAGTTAAACTCCATCGTCACAAAGAATTTTCTGAGAGTGCTACCGTCTGGTTTTTATATGAAGTTCTTTCCTTCACTACCACAGGCCTCAAAGCGGTCCAAATCTCCACTTGCAGATTCTACAAAAAGAGTGTTTGCAAACTGCTCTATCAAAAGGAATGTTCAACTCTGGGAGTTGAATGCAATCATCACAGAGCAGTTTCTGAGAATGCTTCTATGTCGTTTTTAGGAGAAGATATTTCCTTTTCCAACACAGTCCTCCAAGCCCGCTAAATAGCCACTTGCACATTGTAGAAAAAGTGTGTCAAAGCTGCGCTATCAAAGGGAAAGTTCAACTCTGTGAGGTGAATGCAAACATCCCAAAGAAGTTTCTGAGAATGCTTCCGTTTAGCTTTTAGGTGAAGATTATCCCGTTTCCAACGAAACCTTCAAAGAGGTCCAAATATCCCCTTGCGGATCCCACAGAAAGAGTGTTTCGAAACTGCTGTTTCAAAAGGAATCTTCAACTCTGTGAGTTGAATGCAATCATCACAAAGAAGTTTCTGACAATGCTTCTCTCTCGTCTTTCTGTGAAGATAAAGGAAAAGGCTTTCAGGCCTTTGCCACCACAGGCCTCAAAGCGTTCCAAATGTCCACTTGCAGATTCTGCCAAAAGAATATTTCAAAACTGCTCTATGAAAAGCAATGTTAAACTCTGCGGCTCGAACACAAACATCACAAAGCGGTTTCTGAGAATGCTTCAGTTTAGTTTTTCTGTGGAAATATTCCCGTTTCCAAAGAAATCTTCAAAGAGGTCCACGTATCCACTTACAGATTCTACAAAAAGACAGTTTCAAAACTGCTCCATCAAAAGGAGGGTTCAACTGTGTGACTTGAATGCAATCATCACTCAGAAGTTTCTGAGAATGCTTCTCTTTAGTTTTTACGTGAACATATACCCGTTTCGAACGAAGGCCACCCAGTGGTCCAAATATCCACTTGCAGATTATACAGAAAGAGTGTTTCGAACCTGAACTCTCAAAGGCAAGTTCATCTCTGCAAGTTAAATGCATTCATCATGAAGAACTTTCTCAGAGTGTTTGTGTTTAGTTATGGGAAATTATTCCCGTTTCCAACGAAATCCTCAGAGAGCTCCAAATATCCACCTGCAGATTCTACCAAAAGTGTATTTGGAAACTGCTCCATCAAAAGGCATGTTCAGCTCTGTGAGTGAAACTCCATCATCACAAAGAATATTCTGAGAATGCTTCCGTTTGCCTTTTATATGAAGTTCCTTCCTATACGACCGTAGGCCTCAAAGCAGTCCAAATCTCCATTTGCAGATTCTACAAAAAGAGTGATTCCAATCTGCTCTATCAATAGGATTGTTCAACTCCATGAGTTGAATGCCATCCTCACAAAGTCGTTTCTGAGAATGCTTCTATCTAGTTTTTATGTGAAGATATTTCCTTTTCCACCACAGGCCTCAAAGCCCTCCAAACGTCCACTTGCAGTTTCTCGAAAAAGAGTGTTTCATAGCTGCTCTTTCAAAAGGAAATTTCAACTCTGGGAGTTGAATACAAACATCACAAAGTAGTTTCCGAGAATGCTTCTGTTTAGTTTTTATGTGAAGATGATCCCGTTTCCAGTGAAATCTTCAAAGAGGTCCACATATCCCCTTGCAGATTCCAAAGAAAGAGGGTTTCAAAACTGCTCCATCAGAAGGATTGTTCAACTCTGTGAGTTGAATGCAGTCATCGCAGAAAACTTTCTGAGAATGCTTCTGTCTAGGTTTGATGTGAAGATATAGACGTTTCAAACGAAGGCTACAAAGTGGTCAAAATATACACTTGCAGATTCTACTACAAGGGTGTTGCAAACCTGAACTATCAAAGGAAGGTTCAACTCTGTGAGTTGAATACAAACATCACAAAGAATGTTCTGAGTTTGCTTCCGTTCAGTTATGGGAAGTTGATCCCGTTTCCAACGAAATCCTCAGAGAGGTCCAAATATCCCCTCACAGATTCTACAAAACGTGTGTTTGGAAATTGCTCCATCATAACGAATGTTCAGCTCCCTGAGTTAAACTCCATCGTCACAAAGAATTTTCTGAGAGTGCTACCGTCTGGTTTTTATATGAAGTTCTTTCCTTCACTACCACAGGCCTCAAAGCGGTCCAAATCTCCACTTGCAGATTCTACAAAAAGAGTGTTTGCAAACTGCTCTATCAAAAGGAATGTTCAACTCTGGGAGTTGAATGCAATCATCACAGAGCAGTTTCTGAGAATGCTTCTATGTCGTTTTTAGGAGAAGATATTTCCTTTTCCAACACAGTCCTCCAAGCCCGCTAAATATCCACTTGCACATTGGAGAAAAAGTGTGTCGAAGCTGCGCTATCAAAGGGAAAGTTCAACTCTGTGAGGTGAATGCAAACATCCCAAAGAAGTTTCTGAGAATGCTTCCGTTTAGCTTTTAGGTGAAGATTATCCCGTTTCCAACGAAATCTTCAAAGAGGTCCAAATATCCCCTTGCGGATCCCACAGAAAGAGTGTTTCGAAACTGCTGTTTCAAAAGGAATCTTCAACTCTGTGGGTTGAATGCAATCATCACAAAGAAGTTTCTGACAATGCTTCTCTCTCGTCTTTCTGTGAAGATAAAGGAAAAGGCTTTCAGGCCTTTTCCACCACAGGCCTGAAAGCGCTCCAAATGTCCACTTGCAGATTCTGCCAAAAGAATAGTTCAAAACTGCTCTATGAAAAGCAATGTTAAACTCTGTGGCTTGAACACAAACATCACAAAGCAGTTTCTGAGAATGCTTCAGTTTAGTTTTTCTGTGGAAATATTCCCGTTTCCAAAGAAATCTTCAAAGAGGTCCACGTATCCACTTACAGATTCTATAAAAAGACAGTTTCAAAACTGCTCCATCAAAAGGAGGGTTCAACTGTGTGACTTGAATGCAATCATCACTCAGAAGTTTCTGAGAATGCTTCTCTTTAGTTTTTACGTGAACATATACCCGTTTCGAACGAAGGCCACCCAGTGGTCCAAATATCCACTTGCAGATTCTACAGAAAGAGTGTTTCGAACCTGAACTCTCAAAGGCAGGTTCATCTCTGCAAGTTAAATGCATTCATCATGAAGAACTTTCTCAGAGTGTTTGTGTTTAGTTATGGGAAATTATTCCCGTTTCCAACGAAATCCTCAGAGAGCTCCAAATATCCACCTGCTGATTCTACCAAAAGTGTATTTGGAAACTGCTCCATCACAAGGCATGTTCAGCTCTGTGAGTGAAACTCCATCATCACAAAGAATATTCTGAGAATGCTTCCGTTTGCCTTTTATATGAAGTTCCTTCCTATACGACCGTAGGCCTCAAAGCAGTCCAAATCTCCATTTGCAGATTCTACAAAAAGAGTGATTCCAATCTGCTCTATCAATAGGATTGTTCAACTCCATGAGTTGAATGCCATCCTCACAAAGTAGTTTCTGAGAATGCTTCTATCTAGTTTTATGTGAAGATATTTCCTTTTCCACCACAGGCCTCAAAGCCCTCCAAACGTCCACTTGCAGATTCTCGAAAAAGAGTGTTTCATAGCTGCTCTTTCAAAAGGAAAGTTCAACTCTGGGAGTTGAATACAAACATCACAAAGTAGTTTCCGAGAATGCTTCTGTTTAGTTTTTATGTGAAGATGATCCCGTTTCCAGTGAAATCTTCAAAGAGGTCCACATATCCCCTTGCAGATTCCAAAGAAAGAGGGTTTCAAAACTGCTCCATCAGAAGGATTGTTCAACTCTGTGAGTTGAATGCAGTCATCGCAGAAAACTTTCTGAGAATGCTTCTGTCTAGGTTTGATGTGAAGATATAGACGTTTCAAATGAAGGCTACAAAGTGGTCAAAATATACACTTGCAGATTCTACTACAAGGGTGTTGCAAACCTGAACTATCAAAGGAAGGTTCAACTCTGTGAGTTGAATACAAACATCACAAAGAATGTTCTGAGTTTGCTTCCGTTCAGTTATGGGAAGTTGATCCCGTTTCCAACGAAATCCTCAGAGAGGTCCAAATATCCCCTTGCAGATTCTACAAAACGTGTGTTTGGAAACTGCTCCATCATAACGAATGTTCAGCTCCCTGAGTTAAACTCCATCGTCACAAAGAATTTTCTGAGAGTGCTACCGTCTGGTTTTTATATGAAGTTCTTTCCTTCACTACCACAGGCCTCAAAGCGGTCCAAATCTCCACTTGCAGATTCTACAAAAAGAGTGTTTGCAAACTGCTCTATCAAAAGGAATGTTCAACTCTGGGAGTTGAATGCAATCATCACAGAGCAGTTTCTGAGAATGCTTCTATGTCGTTTTTAGGAGAAGATATTTCCTTTTCCAACACAGTCCTCCTAGCCCGCTAAATAGCCACTTGCACATTGTAGAAAAAGTGTGTCAAAGCTGCGCTATCAAAGGGAAAGTTCAACTCTGTGAGGTGAATGCAAACATCCCAAAGAAGTTTCTGAGAATGCTTCCGTTTAGCTTTTAGGTGAAGATTATCCCGTTTCCAACGAAACCTTCAAAGAGGTCCAAATATCCCCTTGCGGATCCCACAGAAAGAGTGTTTCGAAACTGCTGTTTCAAAAGGAATCTTCAACTCTGTGAGTTGAATGCAATCATCACAAAGAAGTTTCTGACAATGCTTCTCTCTCGTCTTTCTGTGAAGATAAAGGAAAAGGCTTTCAGGCCTTTTCCACCACAGGCCTGAAAGCGCTCCAAATGTCCACTTGCAGATTCTGTGAAAAGAATATTGCAAAACTGCTCTATGAAAAGCAATGTTAAACTCTGTGGCTCGAACACAAACATCACAAAGCAGTTTCTGAGAATGCTTCAGTTTAGTTTTTCTGTGGAAATATTCCCGTTTCCAAAGAAATCTTCAAAGAGGTCCACGTGTCCACTTACAGATTCTACAAAAAGACAGTTTCAAAACTGCTCCATCAAAAGGAGGGTTCAACTGTGTGACTTGAATGCAATCATCACTCAGAAGTTTCTGAGAATGCTTCTCTTTAGTTTTTACGTGAACATATACCCGTTTCGAACGAAGGCCACCCAGTGGTCCAAATATCCACTTGCAGATTCTACAGAAAGAGTGTTTCGAACCTGAACTCTCAAAGGCAGGTTCATCTCTGCGAGTTAAATGCATTCATCATGAAGAACTTTCTCAGAGTGTTTGTGTTTAGTTATGGGAAATTATTCCCGTTTCCAACGAAATCCTCAGAGAGCTCCAAATATCCACCTGCAGATTCTACCAAAAGTGTATTTGGAAACTGCTCCATCAAAAGGCATGTTCAGCTCTGTGAGTGAAACTCCATCATCACAAAGAATATTCTGAGAATGCTTCCGTTTGCCGTTTATATGAAGTTCCTTCCTATACTACCGTAGGCCTCAAAGCAGTCCAAATCTCCATTTGCAGATTCTACAAAAAGAGTGATTCCAATCTGCTCTATCAATAGGATTGTCCAACTCCATGTGTTGAATGCCATCCTCAATGTCGTTTCTGAGAATGCTTCTATCTAGTTTTTATGTGAAGATATTTCCTTTTCCACCACAGGCCTCAAAGCCCTCCAAACGTCCACTTGCAGATTCTCGAAAAAGAGTGTTTCATAGCTGCTCTTTCAAAAGGAAAGTTCAACTCTGGGAGTTGAATACAAACATCACAAAGTAGTTTCCGAGAATGCTTCTGTTTAGTTTTTATGTGAAGATGATCCCGTTTCCAGTGAAATCTTCAAAGAGGTCCACATATCCCCTTGCAGATTCCAAAGAAAGAGGGTTTCAAAACTGCTCCATCAGAAGGATTGTTCAACTCTGTGAGTGGAATGCAGTCATCGCAGAAAACTTTCTGAGAATGCTTCTGTCTAGGTTTGATGTGAAGATATAGACGTTTCAAACGAAGGCTACAAAGTGGTCAAAATATACACTTGCAGATTCTACTACAAGGGTGTTGCAAACCTGAACTATCAAAGGAAGGTTCAACTCTGTGAGTTGAATACAAACATCACAAAGAATGTTCTGAGTTTGCTTCCGTTCAGTTATGGGAAGTTGATCCCGTTTCCAACGAAATCCTCAGAGAGGTCTAAATATCCCCTTGCAGATTCTACAAAACGTGTGTTTGGAAACTGCTCCATCATAACGAATGTTCAGCTCCCTGAGTTAAACTCCATCGTCACAAAGAATTTTCTGAGAGTGCTACCGTCTGGTTTTTATATGAAGTTCTTTCCTTCACTACCACAGACCTCAAAGCGGTCCAAATCTCCACTTGCAGATTCTACAAAAAGAGTGTTTGCAAACTGCTCTATCAAA
Source organism: Homo sapiens (assembly GCF_000001405.40). NCBI lineage: Eukaryota > Metazoa > Chordata > Mammalia > Primates > Hominidae > Homo > Homo sapiens. The sequence goes on along the minus strand of NC_000023.11, from coordinate 60,339,202 downwards.
AGGAATGTTCAACTCTGGGAGTTGAATGCAATCATCACAGAGCAGTTTCTGAGAATGCTTCTATGTCGTTTTTAGGAGAAGATATTTCCTTTTCCAACACAGTCCTCCAAGCCCGCTAAATAGCCACTTGCACATTGTAGAAAAAGTGTGTCAAAGCTGCGCTATCAAAGGGAAAGTTCAACTCTGTGAGGTGAATGCAAACATCCCAAAGAAGTTTCTGAGAATGCTTCCGTTTAGCTTTTAGGTGAAGATTATCCCGTTTCCAACGAAAGCTTCAAAGAGGTCCAAATATCCCCTTGCGGATCCCACAGAAAGAGTGTTTCGAAACTGCTGTTTCAAAAGGAATCTTCAACTCTGTGAGTTGAATGCAATCATCACAAAGAAGTTTCTGACAATGCTTCTCTCTCGTCTTTCTGTGAACATAAAGGAAAAGGCGTTCAGGCCTTTGCCACCACAGGCCTGAAAGCGCTCCAAATGTCCACTTGCAGATTCTGCCAAAAGAATATTTCAAAACTGCTCTATGAAAAGCAATGTTAAACTCTGTGGCTGGAACACAAACATCACAAAGCGGTCTCTGAGAATGCTTCAGTTTAGTTTTTCTGTGGAAATATTCCCGTTTCCAAAGAAATCTTCAAAGAGGTCCACGTATCCACTTACAGATTCTACAAAAAGACAGTTTCAAAACTGCTCAATCAAAAGGAGGGTTCAACTGTGTGACTTGAATGCAATCATCACTCAGAAGTTTCTGAGAATGCTTCTCTTTAGTTTTTACGTGAACATATACCCGTTTCGAACGAAGGCCAGCCAGTGGTCCAAATATCCACTTGCAGATTCTACAGAAAGAGTGTTTCGAACCTGAACTCTCAAAGGCAGGTTCATCTCTGCGAGTTAAATGCATTCATCATGAAGAACTTTCTCAGAGTGTTGTGTTTAGTTATGGGAAATTATTCCCGTTTCCAACGAAATCCTCAGAGCAGCTCCAAATATCCACCTGCAGATTCTACCAAAAGTGTATTTGGAAACTGCTCCATCAAAAGGCATGTTCAGCTCTGTGAGTGAAACTCCATCATCACAAAGAATATTCTGAGAATGCTTCCGTTTGCCTTTTATATGAAGTTCCTTCCTGTACTACTGTAGGCCTCAAAGCAGTCCAAATCTCCATTTGCAGATTCTACAAAAAGAGTGATTCCAATCTGCTCTATCAATAGGATTGTTCAACTCCATGAGTTGAATGCCATCCTCACAAAGTAGTTTCTGAGAATGCTTCTATCTGGTTTTTGTGTGAAGATATTTCCTTTTCCACCACAGGCCTCAAAGCCCTCCAAACGTCCACTTGCAGATTCTCGAAAAAGAGTGTTTCATAGCTGCTCTTTCAAAAGGAAAGTTCAACTCTGGGAGTTGAATACAAACATCACAAAATAGTTTCCGAGAATGCTTCTGTTTAGTTTTTATGTGAAGATGATCCCGTTTCCAGTGAAATCTTCAAAGAGGTCCACATATCCCCTTGCAGATTCCAAAGAAAGAGGGTTTCAAAACTGCTCCATCAGAAGGATTGTTCAACTCTGTGAGTTGAATGCAGTCATCGCAGAAAACTTTCTGAGAATGCTTCTTTCTAGGTTTGATGTGAAGATATAGACGTTTCAAACGAAGGCTACAAAGTGGTCAAAATATACACTTGCAGATTCTACTACAAGGGTGTTGCAAACCTGAACTATCAAAGGAAGGTTCAACTCTGTGAGTTGAATACAAACATCACAAAGAATGTTCTGAGTTTGCTTCCGTTCAGTTATGGGAAGTTGATCCCGTTTCCAACGAAATCCTCAGAGAGGTCCAAATATCCCCTCGCAGATTCTACAAAACATGTGTTTGGAAACTGCTCCATCATAACGAATGTTCAGCTCCCTGAGTTAAACTCCATCGTCACAAAGAATTTTCTGAGAGTGCTACCGTCTGGTTTTTATATGAAGTTCTTTCCTTCACTACCACAGGCCTCAAAGCGGTCCAAATCTCCACTTGCAGATTCTACAAAAAGAGTGTTTGCAAACTGCTCTATCAAAAGGAATGTTCAACTCTGGGAGTTGAATGCAATCATCACAGAGCAGTTTCTGAGAATGCTTCTATGTCGTTTTTAGGAGAAGATATTTCCTTTTCCAACACAGTCCTCCAAGCCCGCTAAATAGCCACTTGCACATTGTAGAAAAAGTGTGTCAAAGCTGCGCTATCAAAGGGAAAGTTCAACTCTGTGAGGTGAATGCAAACATCCCAAAGAAGTTTCTGAGAATGCTTCCGTTTAGCTTTTAGGTGAAGATTATCCCGTTTCCAACGAAACCTTCAAAGAGGTCCAAATATCCCCTTGCGGATCCCACAGAAAGAGTGTTTCGAAACTGCTGTTTCAAAAGGAATCTTCAACTCTGTGAGTTGAATGCAATCATCACAAAGAAGTTTCTGACAATGCTTCTCTCTCGTCTTTCTGTGAAGATAAAGGAAAAGGCTTTCAGGCCTTTTCCACCACAGGCCTGAAAGCGCTCCAAATGTCCACTTGCAGATTCTGCCAAAAGAATATTTCAAAACTGCTCTATGAAAAGCAATGTTAAACTCTGTGGCTCGAACACAAACATCACAAAGCGGTTTCTGAGAATGCTTCAGTTTAGTTTTTCTGTGGAAATATTCCCGTTTCCAAAGAAATCTTCAAAGAGGTCCACGTATCCACTTACAGATTCTACAAAAAGACAGTTTCAAAACTGCTCCATCAAAAGGAGGGTTCAACTGTGTGACTTGAATGCAATCATCACTCAGAAGTTTCTGAGAATGCTTCTCTTTAGTTTTTACGTGAACATATACCCGTTTCGAACGAAGGCCAGCCAGTGGTCCAAATATCCACTTGCAGATTCTACAGAAAGAGTGTTTCGAACCTGAACTCTCAAAGGCAGGTTCATCTCTGCGAGTTAAATGCATTCATCATGAAGAACTTTCTCAGAGTGTTTGTGTTTAGTTATGGGAAATTATTCCCGTTTCCAACGAAATCCTCAGAGAGCTCCAAATATCCACCTGCAGATTCTACCAAAAGTGTATTTGGAAACTGCTCCATCAAAAGGCATGTTCAGCTCTGTCAGTGAAACTCCATCATCACAAAGAATATTCTGAGAATGCTTCCGTTTGCCTTTTATATGAAGTTCCTTCCTGTACTACCGTAGGCCTCAAAGCAGTCCAAATCTCCATTTGCAGATTCTACAAAAAGAGTGATTCCAATCTGCTCTATCAATAGGATTGTTCAACTCCATGAGTTGAATGCCATCCTCACAAAGTCGTTTCTGAGAATGCTTCTATCTAGTTTTTATGTGAAGATATTTCCTTTTCCACCACAGGCCTCAAAGCCCTCCAATCGTCCACTTGCAGATTCTCGAAAAAGAGTGTTTCATAGCTGCTCTTTCAAAAGGAAAGTTCAACTCTGGGAGCTGAATACAAACATCACAAAGTAGTTTCCGAGAATGCTTCTGTTTAGTTTTTATGTGAAGATGATCCCGTTTCCAGTGAAATCTTCAAAGAGGTCCACATATCCCCTTGCAGATTCCAAAGAAAGAGGGTTTCAAAACTGCTCCATCAGAAGGATTGTTCAACTCTGTGAGTTGAATGCAGTCATCGCAGAAAACTTTCTGAGAATGCTTCTGTCTAGGTTTGATGTGAAGATATAGACGTTTCAAATGAAGGCTACAAAGTGGTCAAAATATACACTTGCAGATTCTACTACAAGGGTGTTGCAAACCTGAACTATCAAAGGAAGGTTCAACTCTGTGAGTTGAATACAAACATCACAAAGAATGTTCTGAGTTTGCTTCCGTTCAGTTATGGGAAGTTGATCCCGTTTCCAACGAAATCCTCAGAGAGGTCCAAATATCCCCTTGCAGATTCTACAAAACGTGTGTTTGGAAACTGCTCCATCATAACGAATGTTCAGCTCCCTGAGTTAAACTCCATCGTCACAAAGAATTTTCTGAGAGTGCTACCGTCTGGTTTTTATATGAAGTTCTTTCCTTCACTACCACAGGCCTCAAAGCGGTCCAAATCTCCACTTCCAGATTCTACAAAAAGAGTGTTTGCAAACTGCTCTATCAAAAGGAATGTTCAACTCTGGGAGTTGAATGCAATCATCACAGAGCAGTTTCTGAGAATGCTTCTATGTCGTTTTTAGGAGAAGATATTTCCTTTTCCAACACAGTCCTCCAAGCCCGCTAAATAGCCACTTGCACATTGTAGAAAAAGTGTGTCAAAGCTGCGCTATCAAAGGGAAAGTTCAACTCTGTGAAGTGAATGCAAACATCCCAAAGAAGTTTCTGAGAATGCTTCCGTTTAGCTTTTAGGTGAAGATTATCCCGTTTCCAACGAAACCTTCAAAGAGGTCCAAATATCCCCTTGCGGATCCCACAGAAAGAGTGTTTCGAAACTGCTGTTTAAAAAGGAATCTTCAACTCTGTGAGTTGAATGCAATCATCACAAAGAAGTTTCTGACAATGCTTCTCTCTCGTCTTTCTGTGAAGATAAAGGAAAAGGTTTTCAGGCCTTTTCCACCACAGGCCTGAAAGCGCTCCAAATGTCCACTTGCAGATTCTGCGAAAAGAATATTTCAAAACTGCTCTATGAAAAGCAATGTTAAACTCTGTGGCTCGAACACAAACATCACAAAGCAGTTTCTGAAAATGCTTCAGTTTAGTTTTTCTGTGGAAATATTCCCGTTTCCAAAGAAATCTTCAAAGAGGTCCACGTATCCACTTACAGATTCTACAAAAAGACAGTTTCAAAACTGCTCCATCAAAAGGAGGGTTCAACTGTGTGACTTGAATGCAATCATCACTCAGAAGTTTCTGAGAATGCTTCTCTTTAGTTTTTACGTGAACATATACCCGTTTCGAACGAAGGCCACCCAGTGGTCCAAATATCCACTTGCAGATTATACAGAAAGAGTGTTTCGAACCTGAACTCTCAAAGGCAGGTTCATCTCTGCGAGTTAAATGCATTCATCATGAAGAACTTTCTCAGAGTGTTTGTGTTTAGTTATGGGAAATTATTCCCGTTTCCAACGAAATCCTCAGAGAGCTCCAAATATCCACCTGCAGATTCTACCAAAAGTGTATTTGGAAACTGCTCCATCAAAAGGCATGTTCAGCTCTGTGAGTGAAACTCCATCATCACAAAGAATATTCTGAGAATGCTTCCGTTTGCCTTTTATATGAAGTTCCTTCCTGTACTACCGTAGGCCTCAAAGCAGTCCAAATCTCCATTTGCAGATTCTATAAAAAGAGTGATTCCAATCTGCTCTATCAATAGGATTGTTCAACTCCATGAGTTGAATGCCATCCTCACAAAGTAGTTTCTGAGAATGCTTCTATCTGGTTTTTGTGTGAAGATATTTCCTTTTCCACCACAGGCCTCAAAGCCCTCCAAACGTCCACTTGCAGATTCTCGAAAAAGAGTGTTTCATAGCTGCTCTTTCAAAAGGAAAGTTCAACTCTGGGAGTTGAATACAAACATCACAAAATAGTTTCCGAGAATGCTTCTGTTTAGTTTTTATGTGAAGATGATCCCGTTTCCAGTGAAATCTTCAAAGAGGTCCACATATCCCCTTGCAGATTCCAAAGAAAGAGGGTTTCAAAACTGCTCCATCAGAGGATTGTTCAACTCTGTGAGTTGAATGCAGTCATCGCAGAAAACTTTCTGAGAATGCTTCTGTCTAGGTTTGATGTGAAGATATAGACGTTTCAAACGAAGGCTACAAAGTGGTCAAAATATACACTTGCAGATTCTACTACAAGGGTGTTGCAAACCTGAACTATCAAAGGAAGGTTCAACTCTGTGAGTTGAATACAAACATCACAAAGAATGTTCTGAGTTTGCTTCCGTTCAGTTATGGGAAGTTGATCCCGTTTCCAACGAAATCCTCAGAGAGGTCCAAATATCCCCTCGCAGATTCTACAAAACGTGTGTTTGGAAACTGCTCCATCATAACGAATGTTCAGCTCCCTGAGTTAAACTCCATCGTCACAAAGAATTTTCTGAGAGTGCTACCGTCTGGTTTTTATATGAAGTTCTTTCCTTCACTACCACAGGCCTCAAAGCGGTCCAAATCTCCACTTGCAGATTCTACAAAAAGAGTGTTTGCAAACTGCTCTATCAAAAGGAATGTTCAACTCTGGGAGTTGAATGCAATCATCACAGAGCAGTTTCTGAGAATGCTTCTATGTCGTTTTTAGGAGAAGATATTTCCTTTTCCAACACAGTCCTCCAAGCCCGCTAAATAGCCACTTGCACATTGTAGAAAAAGTGTGTCAAAGCTGCGCTATCAAAGGGAAAGTTCAACTCTGTCAGGTGAATGCAAACATCCCAAAGAAGTTTCTGAGAATGCTTCCGTTTAGCTTTTAGGTGAAGATTATCCCGTTTCCAACGAAACCTTCAAAGAGGTCCAAATATCCCCTTGCGGATCCCACAGAAAGAGTGTTTCGAAACTGCTGTTTCAAAAGGAATCTTCAACTCTGTGAGTTGAATGCAATCATCACAAAGAAGTTTCTGACAATGCTTCTCTCTCGTCTTTCTGTGAAGATAAAGGAAAAGGCTTTCAGGCCTTTGCCACCACAGGCCTGAAAGCGGTCCAAATGTCCACTTGCAGATTCTGCCAAAAGAATATTTCAAAACTGCTCTATGAAAAGCAATGTTAAACTCTGCGGCTCGAACACAAACATCACAAAGCGGTTTCTGAGAATGCTTCAGTTTAGTTTTTCTGTGGAAATATTCCCGTTTCCAAAGAAATCTTCAAAGAGGTCCACGTATCCACTTACAGATTCTACAAAAAGACAGTTTCAAAACTGCTCCATCAAAAGGAGGGTTCAACTGTGTGACTTGAATGCAATCATCACTCAGAAGTTTCTGAGAATGCTTCTCTTTAGTTTTTACGTGAACATATACCCGTTTCGAACGAAGGCCACCCAGTGGTCCAAATATCCACTTGCAGATTATACAGAAAGAGTGTTTCGAACCTGAACTCTCAAAGGCAGGTTCATCTCTGCGAGTTAAATGCATTCATCATGAAGAACTTTCTCAGAGTGTTTGTGTTTAGTTATGGGAAATTATTCCCGTTTCCAACGAAATCCTCAGAGAGCTCCAAATATCCACCTGCAGATTCTACCAAAAGTGTATTTGGAAACTGCTCCATCAAAAGGCATGTTCACCTCTGTGAGTGAAACTCCATCATCACAAAGAATATTCTGAGAATGCTTCCGTTTGCCTTTTATATGAAGTTCCTTCCTGTACTACCGTAGGCCTCAAAGCAGTCCAAATCTCCATTTGCAGATTCTATGAAAAGAGTGATTCCAATCTGCTCTATCAATAGGATTGTTCAATTCCATGAGTTGAATGCCATCCTCACAAAGTAGTTTCTGAGAATGCTTCTATCTGGTTTTTGTGTGAAGATATTTCCTTTTCCACCACAGGCCTCAAAGCCCTCCAAACGTCCACTTGCAGATTCTCGAAAAAGAGTGTTTCATAGCTGCTCTTTCAAAAGGAAAGTTCAACTCTGGGAGTTGAATACAAACATCACAAAGTAGTTTCCGAGAATGCTTCTGTTTAGTTTTTATGTGAAGATGATCCCGTTTCCAGTGAAATCTTCAAAGAGGTCCACATATCCCCTTGCAGATTCCAAAGAAAGAGGGTTTCAAAACTGCTCCATCAGAAGGATTGTTCAACTCTGTGAGTTGAATGCAGTCATCGCAGAAAACTTTCTGAGAATGCTTCTGTCTAGGTTTGATGTGAAGGTATAGACGTTTCAAATGAAGGCTACAAAGTGGTCAAAATATACACTTGCAGATTCTACTACAAGGGTGTTGCAAACCTGAACTATCAAAGGAAGGTTCAACTCTGTGAGTTGAATACAAACATCACAAAGAATGTTCTGAGTTTGCTTCCGTTCAGTTATGGGAAGTTGATCCCGTTTCCAATGAAATCCTCAGAGAGGTCCAAATATCCCCTTGCAGATTCTACAAAACGTGTGTTTGGAAACTGCTCCATCATAACTAATGTTCAGCTCCCTGAGTTAAACTCCATCGTCACAAAGAGTTTTCTGAGAGTGCTACCGTCTAGTTTTTATATGAAGTTGTTTCCTTTACTACCACAGGCCTCAAAGCGGTCCAAATCTCCACTTGCACATTGTAGAAAAATGTGTCGAAGCTGCGCTATCAAAGGGAAAGTTCAACTCTGTGAGGTGAATGCAAACATCCCAAAGAAGTTTCTGAGAATGCTTCCGTTCAGCTTTTAGGTGAAGATTATCCCGTTTCCAACGAAATCTTCAAAGAGGTCCAAATATCCCCTTGCGGATCCCACAGAAAGAGTGTTTCGAAACTGCTGTTTCAAAAGGAATCTTCAACTCTGTGAGTTGAATGCAATCATCACAAAGAAGTTTCTGACAATGCTTCTCCCTCATCTTTCTGTGAAGATAAAGGAAAAGGCTTTCAGGCCTTTTCCACCACAGGCCTGAAAGCGCTCCATATGTCCACTTGCAGATTCTGCCAAAAGAATATTTCAAAACTGCTCTATGAAAAGCAATGTTAAACTCTGCGGCTCGAACACAAACATCACAAAGCAGTTTCTGAGAATGCTTCAGTTTAGTTTTTCTGTGGAAATATTCCCGTTTCCAAAGAAATCTTCAAAGAGGTCCACGTATCCATTTACAGATTCTACAAAAAGACAGTTTCAAAACTGCTCAATCAAAAGGAGGGTTCAACCGTGTGACTTGAATGCAATCATCAGTCAGAAGTTTCTGAGAAAGCTTCTCTTTAGTTTTTACGTGAACATATACCCGTTTCGAACGAAGGCCACCCAGTGGTCCAAATATCCACTTGCAGATTCTACAGAAAGAGTGTTTCGAACCTGAACTCTCAAAGGCAGGTTCATCTCTGCGAGTTCAATGCATTCAACATGAAGAACTTTCTCAGCGTGTTTGTGTTTAGGTATGGGAAATTATTGCCGTTTCCAACGAAATCCTCAGAGAGGTCCAAATATCCACCTGCAGATTCTACCAAAAGTGTATTTGGAAACTGCTCCATCAAAAGGCATGTTCAGCTCTGTGAGTGAAACTCCATCATCACAAAGAATATTCTGAGAATGCTTCCGTTTGCCTTTTATATGAAGTTCCTTCCTATACTACCGTAGGCCTCAAAGCAGTCCAAATCTCCATTTGCAGATTCTACAAAAAGAGTGATTCCAATCTGCTCTATCAATAGGATTGTTCAACTCCATGAGTTGAATGCCATCCTCACAAAGTCGTTTCTGAGAATGCTTCTATCTAGTTTTTATGTGAAGATATTTCCTTTTCCACCACAGGCCTCAAAGCCCTCCAAACGTCCACTTGCAGATTCTCGAAAAAGAGTGTTTCATAGCTGCTCTTTCAAAAGGAAAGTTCAACTCTGGGAGTTGAATACAAACATCACAAAGTAGTTTCCGAGAATGCTTCTGTTTAGTTCTTATGTGAAGATGATCCCGTTTCCAGTGAAATCTTCAAAGAGGTCCACATATCCCATTGCAGATTCCAAAGAAAGAGGGTTTCAAAACTGCTCCATCAAAAGGATTGTTCAACTCTGTGAGTTGAATGCAGTCATCGCAGAAAATTTTCTGAGAATGCTTCTGTCTAGGTTTGATGTGAAGATATAGACCTTTCAAACGAAGGCTACAAAGTGGTCAAAATATACACTTGCAGATTCTACTGCAAGGGTGTTGCAAACCTGAACTATCAAAGGAATGTTCAACTCTGTGAGTTGAATTCAAACGTCATAAAGAATGTTCTGAGTTTGCTTCCGTTCAGTTATGGGAAGTTGATCCCGTTTCCAACGAAATCCTCAGAGAGGTCCAAATATCCCCTTGCAGATTCTACAAAACGTGTGTTTGGAAACTGCTCCATCATAACGAATGTTCAGCTCTCTGAGTTAAACTCCATCGTCACAAAAAATTTTCTGAGAGTGCTACCGTCTAGTTTTTATATGAAGTTCTTTCCTTTACTACCACAGGCCTCAAAGCGGTCCAAATCTCCACTTGCAGATTCTACAAAAAGAGTGTTTGCAAACTGCTCTATCAAAAGGAATGTTCAACTCTGGGAGTTGAATGCAATCATCACAGAGCAGTTTCTGAGAATGCTTCTATGTGGTTTTTAGGAGAAGATATTTCCTTTTCCAACACAGTCCTGCAAGCCCGCTAAATATCCACTTGCACATTTTAGAAAAAGTGTGTCGAAGCTGCGCTATCAAAGGGAAAGTTCAACTCTGTGAGGTGAATGCGAACATCCCAAAGAAGTTTCTGAGAATGCTTCCGTTTAGCTTTTAGGTGAAGATTATCCCGTTTCCAACGAAATCTTCAAAGAGGTCCAAATATCCCCTTGCGGATCCCACAGAAAGAGTGTTTCGAAACTGCTGTTTCAAAAGGAATCTTCAACTCTGTGAGTTGAATGCAATCATCACAAAGAAGTTTCTGACAATGCTTCTCTCTCGTCTTTCTGTGAAGATAAAGGAAAAGGCTTTCAGGCCTTTTCCACCACAGGCCTGAAAGCGCTCCAAATGTCCACTTGCAGATTCTGCCAAAAGAATATTTCAAAACTGCTCTATGAAAAGCAATGTTAAACTCTGTGGCTCGAACACAAACATCACAAAGCAGTTTCTGAGAATGCTTCAGTTTAGTTTTTCTGTGGAAATATTCCCGTTTCGAAAGAAATCTTCAAAGAGGTCCACGTATCCACTTACAGATTCTACAAAAAGACAGTTTCAAAACTGCTCAATCAAAAGGAGGGTTCAACCGTGTGACTTGAATGCAATCATCACTCAGAAGTTTCTGAGAATGCTTCTCTTTAGTTTTTACGTGAACATATACCCGTTTCGAACGAAGGCCACCCAGTGGTCCAAATATCCACTTGCAGATTCTACAGAAAGAGTGTTTCGAACCTGAACTCTCAAAGGCAGGTTCATCTCTGCGAGTTAAATGCATTCATCATGAAGAACTTTCTCAGAGTGTTTGTGTTTAGTTATGGGAAATTATTCCCGTTTCCAACGAAATCCTCAGAGAGCTCCAAATATCCACCTGCAGATTCTACCAAAAGTGTATTTGGAAACTGCTCCATCAAAAGGCATGTTCAGCTCTGTGAGTGAAACTCCATCATCACAAAGAATATTCTGAGAATGCTTCCGTTTGCCTTTTATATGAAGTTCCTTCCTATACGACCGTAGGCCTCAAAGCAGTCCAAATCTCCATTTGCAGATTCTACAAAAAGAGTGATTCCAATCTGCTCTATCAATAGGATTGTTCAACTCCATGAGTTGAATGCCATCCTCACAAAGTCGTTTCTGAGAATGCTTCTATCTAGTTTTTATGTGAAGATATTTCCTTTTCCACCACAGGCCTCAAAGCCCTCCAAACGTCCACTTGCAGATTCTCGAGAAAGAGTGTTTCATAGCTGCTCTTTCAAAAGGAAAGTTCAACTCTGGGAGTTGAATACAAACATCACAAAGTAGTTTCCGAGAATGCTTCTGTTTAGTTTTTATGTGAAGATGATCCCGTTTCCAGTGAAATCTTCAAAGAGGTCCACATATCCCCTTGCAGATTCCAAAGAAAGAGGGTTTCAAAACTGCTCCATCAGAAGGATTGTTCAACTCTGTGAGTTGAATGCAGTCATCGCAGAAAACTTTCTGAGAATGCTTCTGTCTAGGTTTGATGTGAAGATATAGACGTTTCAAACGAAGGCTACAAAGTGGTCAAAATATACACTTGCAGATTCTACTACAAGGGTGTTGCAAACCTGAACTATCAAAGGAAGGTTGAACTCTGTGAGTTGAATACAAACATCACAAAGAATGTTCTGAGTTTGCTTCCGTTCAGTTATGGGAAGTTGATCCCGTTTCCAACGAAATCCTCAGAGAGGTCCAAATATCCCCTTGCAGATTCTACAAAACGTGTGTTTGGAAACTGCTCCATCATAACGAATGTTCAGCTCCCTGAGTTAAACTCCATCGTCACAAAGAATTTTCTGAGAGTGCTACCGTCTGGTTTTTATATGAAGTTCTTTCCTTCACTACCACAGGCCTCAAAGCGGTCCAAATCTCCACTTGCAGATTCTACAAAAAGAGTGTTTGCAAACTGCTCTATCAAAAGGAATGTTCAACTCTGGGAGTTGAATGCAATCATCACAGAGCAGTTTCTGAGAATGCTTCTATGTCGTTTTTAGGAGAAGATATTTCCTTTTCCAACACAGTCCTCCAAGCCCGCTAAATAGCCACTTGCACATTGTAGAAAAAGTGTGTCAAAGCTGCGCTATCAAAGGGAAAGTTCAACTCTGTGAGGTGAATGCAAACATCCCAAAGAAGTTTCTGAGAATGCTTCCGTTTAGCTTTTAGGTGAAGATTATCCCGTTTCCAACGAAACCTTCAAAGAGGTCCAAATATCCCCTTGCGGATCCCACAGAAAGAGTGTTTTGAAACTGCTGTTTCAAAAGGAATCTTCAACTCTGTGAGTTGAATGCAATCATCACAAAGAAGTTTCTGACAATGCTTCTCTCTCGTCTTTCTGTGAAGATAAAGGAAAAGGCTTTCAGGCCTTTTCCACCACAGGCCTGAAAGCGCTCCAAATGTCCACTTGCAGATTCTGCGAAAAGAATATTTCAAAACTGCTCTATGAAAAGCAATGTTAAACTCTGTGGCTCGAACACAAACATCACAAAGCAGTTTCTGAGAATGCTTCAGTTTAGTTTTTCTGTGGAAATATTCCCGTTTCCAAAGAAATCTTCAAAGAGGTCCACGCATCCACTTACAGATTCTACAAAAAGACAGTTTCAAAACTGCTCCATCAAAAGGAGGGTTCAACTGTGTGACTTGAATGCAATCATCACTCAGAAGTTTCTGAGAATGCTTCTCTTTAGTTTTTACGTGAACATATACCCGTTTCGAACGAAGGCCACCCAGTGGTCCAAATATCCACTTGCAGATTCTACAGAAAGAGTGTTTCGAACCTGAACTCTCAAAGGCAGGTTCATCTCTGCGAGTTAAATGCATTCATCATGAAGAACTTTCTCAGAGTGTTTGTGTTTAGTTATGGGAAATTATTCCCGTTTCCAACGAAATCCTCAGAGAGCTCCAAATATCCACCTGCAGATTCTACCAAAAGTGTATTTGGAAACTGCTCCATCAAAAGGCATGTTCAGCTCTGTGAGTGAAACTCCATCATCACAAAGAATATTCTGAGAATGCTTCCGTTTGCCTTTTATATGAAGTTCCTTCCTATACTACCGTAGGCCTCAAAGCAGTCCAAATCTCCATTTGCAGATTCTACAAAAAGAGTGATTCCAATCTGCTCTATCAATAGGATTGTTCAACTCCATGAGTTGAATGCCATCCTCACAAAGTAGTTTCTGAGAATGCTTCTATCTAGTTTTAATGTGAAGATATTTCCTTTTCCACCACAGGCCTCAAAGCCCTCCAAACGTCCACTTGCAGATTCTCGAAAAAGAGTGTTTCATAGCTGCTCTTTCAAAAGGAAAGTTCAACTCTGGGAGTTGAATACAAACATCACAAAGTAGTTTCCGAGAATGCTTCTGTTTAGTTTTTATGTGAAGATGATCCCGTTTCCAGTGAAATCTTCAAAGAGGTCCACATATCCCCTTGCAGATTCCAAAGAAAGAGGGTTTCAAAACTGCTCCATCAGAAGGATTGTTCAACTCTGTGAGTGGAATGCAGTCATCGCAGAAAACTTTCTGAGAATGCTTCTGTCTAGGTTTGATGTGAAGATATAGACGTTTCAAACGAAGGCTACAAAGTGGTCAAAATATACACTTGCAGATTCTACTACAAGGGTGTTGCAAACCTGAACTATCAAAGGAAGGTTCAACTCTGTGAGTTGAATACAAACATCACAAAGAATGTTCTGAGTTTGCTTCCGTTCAGTTATGGGAAGTTGATCCCGTTTCCAACGAAATCCTCAGAGAGGTCCAAATATCCCCTTGCAGATTCTACAAAACGTGTGTTTGGAAACTGCTCCATCATAACGAATGTTCAGCTCCCTGAGTTAAACTCCATCGTCACAAAGAATTTTCTGAGAGTGCTACCGTCTGGTTTTTATATGAAGTTCTTTCCTTCACTACCACAGGCCTCAAAGCGGTCCAAATCTCCACTTGCAGATTCTACAAAAAGAGTGTTTGCAAACTGCTCTATCAAAAGGAATGTTCAACTCTGGGAGTTGAATGCAATCATCACAGAGCAGTTTCTGAGAATGCTTCTATGTCGTTTTTAGGAGAAGATATTTCCTTTTCCAACACAGTCCTCCAAGTCCGCTAAATAGCCACTTGCACATTGTAGAAAAAGTGTGTCAAAGCTGCGCTATCAAAGGGAAAGTTCAACTCTGAGAGGTGAATGCAAACATCCCAAAGAAGTTTCTGAGAGTGCTTCCGTTTAGCTTTTAGGTGAAGATTATCCCGTTTCCAACGAAACCTTCAAAGAAGTCCAAATATCCCCTTGCGGATCCCACAGAAAGAGTGTTTCGAAACTGCTGTTTCAAAAGGAATCTTCAACTCTGTGAGTTGAATGCAATCATCACAAAGAAGTTTCTGACAATGCTTCTCTCTCGTCTTTCTGTGAAGATAAATAAATGCTTTCAGGCCTTTGCCACCACAGGCCTGAAAGCGCTCCAAATGTCCACTTGCAGATTCTGCCAAAAGAATATTTCAAAACTGCTTTGTGAAAAGCAATGTTAAACTCTGTGGCTCGAACACAAACATCACAAAGCGGTTTCTGAGAATGCTTCAGTTTAGTTTTTCTGTGGAAATATTCCCGTTTCCAAAGAAATCTTCAAAGAGGTCCACGTATCCACTTACAGATTCTACAAAAAGACAGTTTCAAAACTGCTCCATCAAAAGGAGGGTTCAACTGTGTGACTTGAATGCAATCATCACTCAGAAGTTTCTGAGAATGCTTCTCTTTAGTTTTTACGTGAACATATACCCGTTTCGAACGAAGGCCACCCAGTGGTCCAAATATCCACTTGCAGATTCTACAGAAAGAGTGTTTCGAACCTGAACTCTCAAAGGCAGGTTCATCTCTGCGAGTTAAATGCATTCATCATGAAGAACTTTCTCAGAGTGTTTGTGTTTAGTTATGGGAAATTATTCCCGTTTCCAACGAAATCCTCAGAGAGCTCCAAATATCCACCTGCAGATTCTACCAAAAGTGTATTTGGAAACTGCTCCATCAAAAGGCATGTTCAGCTCTGTGAGTGAAACTCCATCATCACAAAGAATATTCTGAGAATGCTTCCGTTTGCCTTTTATATGAAGTTCCTTCCTGTACTACTGTAGGCCTCAAAGCAGTCCAAATCTCCATTTGCAGATTCTACAAAAAGAGTGATTCCAATCTGCTCTATCAATAGGATTGTTCAACTCCATGAGTTGAATGCCATCCTCACAAAGTAGTTTCTGAGAATGCTTCTATCTGGTTTTTGTGTGAAGATATTTCCTTTTCCACCACAGGCCTCAAAGCCCTCCAAACGTCCACTTGCAGATTCTCGAAAAAGAGTGTTTCATAGCTGCTCTTTCAAAAGGAAAGTTCAACTCTGGGAGTTGAATACAAACATCACAAAATAGTTTCCGAGAATGCTTCTGTCTAGGTTTGATGTGAAGATATAGACGTTTCAAACGAAGGCTACAAAGTGGTCAAAATATACACTTGCAGATTCTACTACAAGGGTGTTGCAAACCTGAACTATCAAAGGAAGGTTCAACTCTGTGAATTGAATACAAACATCACAAAGAATGTTCTGAGTTTGCTTCCGTTCAGTTATGGGAAGTTGATCCCGTTTCCAACGAAATACTCAGAGAGGTCCAAATATCCCCTCGCAGATTCTACAAAACGTGTGTTTGGAAACTGCTCCATCATAACGAATGTTCAGCTCCCTGAGTTAAACTCCATCGTCACAAAGAATTTTCTGAGAGTGCTACCGTCTGGTTTTTATATGAAGTTCTTTCCTTCACTATCACAGGCCTCAAAGCGGTCCAAATCTCCACTTGCAGATTCTACAAAAAGAGTGTTTGCAAACTGCTCTATCAAAAGGAATGTTCAACTCTGGGAGTTGAATGCAATCATCACAGAGCAGTTTCTGAGAATGCTTCTATGTCGTTTTTAGGAGAAGATATTTCCTTTTCCAACACAGTCCTCCAAGCCCGCTAAATAGCCACTTGCACATTGTAGAAAAAGTGTGTCAAAGCTGCGCTATCAAAGGGAAAGTTCAACTCTGTGAGGTGAATGCAAACATCCCAAAGAAGTTTCTGAGAATGCTTCCGTTTAGCTTTTAGGTGAAGATTATCCCGTTTCCAACGAAACCTTCAAAGAGGTCCAAATATCCCCTTGCGGATCCCACAGAAAGAGTGTTTCGAAACTGCTGTTTCAAAAGGAATCTTCAACTCTGTGAGTTGAATGCAATCATCACAAAGAAGTTTCTGACAATGCTTCTCTCTCGTCTTTCTGTGAAGATAAAGGAAAAGGCTTTCAGGCCTTTTCCACCACAGGCCTGAAAGCGCTCCAAATGTCCACTTGCAGATTCTGCCAAAAGAATATTTCAAAACTGCTCTATGAAACGCAATGTTAAACTCTGTGGCTCGAACACAAACATCACAAGGCGGTTTCTGAGAATGCTTCAGTTTAGTTTTTCTGTGGAAATATTCCCGTTTCCAAAGAAATCTTCAAAGAGGTCCACGTATCCACTTACAGATTCTACAAAAAGACAGTTTCAAAACTGCTCCATCAAAAGGAGGGTTCAACTGTGTGACTTGAATGCAATCATCACTCAGAAGTTTCTGAGAATGCTTCTCTTTAGTTTTTACGTGAACATATACCCGTTTCGAACGAAAGCCAGCCAGTGGTCCAAATATCCACTTGCAGATTCTACAGAAAGAGTGTTTCGAACCTGAACTCTCAAAGGCAGGTTCATCTCTGCGAGTTAAATGCATTCATCATGAAGAACTTTCTCAGCGTGTTTGTGTTTAGTTATGGGAAATTATTCCCGTTTCCAACGAAATCCTCAGAGAGCTCCAAATATCCACCTGCAGATTCTACCAAAAGTGTATTTGGAAACTGCTCCATCAAAAGGCATGTTCAGCTCTGTGAGTGAAACTCCATCATCACAAAGAATATTCTGAGAATGCTTCCGTTTGCCTTTTATATGAAGTTCCTTCCTATACTACCGTAGGCCTCAAAGCAGTCCAAATCTCCATTTGCAGATTTTACAAAAAGAGTGATTCCAATCTGCTCTATCAATAGGATTGTTCAACTCCATGAGTTGAATGCCATCCTCACAAACTCGTTTCTGA
The DNA here is from genome assembly GCF_000001405.40 of Homo sapiens. Taxonomy (NCBI): domain Eukaryota; kingdom Metazoa; phylum Chordata; class Mammalia; order Primates; family Hominidae; genus Homo; species Homo sapiens. Next base: position 60,321,834 of record NC_000023.11, on the reverse strand, counting down.
GAATGCTTCTATCTAGTTTTTATGTGAAGATATTTCCTTTTCCACCACAGGCCTCAAAGCCCTCCAAACGTCCACTTGCAGATTCTCGAAAAAGAGTGTTTCATAGCTGCTCTTTCAAAAGGAAAGTTCAACTCTGGGAGGTGAATACAAACATCACAAAGTAGTTTTCGAGAATGCTTCTGTTTAGTTCTTATGTGAAGATGATCCCGTTTCCAGTGAAATCTTCAAAGAGGTCCACATATCCCCTTGCAGATTCCAAAGAAAGAGGGTTTCAAAACTGCTCCATCAAAAGGATTGTTCACCTCTGTGAGTTGAATGCAGTCATCGCAGAAAACTTTCTGAGAATGGTTCTGTCTAGGTTTGATGTGAAGATATAGACGTTTCAAACGAAGGCTACAAAGTGGTCAAAATATACACTTGCAGATTCTACTACAAGGGTGTTGCAAACCTGAACTATCAAAGGAAGGTTCAACTCTGTGAGTTGAATTCAAACATCATAAAGAATGTTCTGAGTTTGCTTCCGTTCAGTTATGGGAAGTTGATCCCGTTTCCAACGAAATCCTCAGAGAGGTCCAAATATCCCCTTGCAGATTCTACAAAACGTGTGTTTGGAAACTGCTCCATCATAACGAATGTTCAGCTCTCTGAGTTAAACTCCATCGTCACAAAGAATTTTCTGAGAGTGCTACCGTCTAGTTTTTATAGGAAGTTCTTTCCTTTACTACCACAGGCCTCAAAGCGGTCCAAATCTCCACTTGCAGATTCTACAAAAAGAGTGTTTGCAAACTGCTCTATCAAAAGGAATGTTCAACTCTGGGAGTTGAATGCAATCATCACAGAGCAGTTTCTGAGAATGCTTCTATGTCGTTTTTAGGAGAAGATATTTCCTTTTCCAACACAGTCCTCCAAGCCCGCTAAATATCCACTTGCACATTGTAGAAAAAGTGTGTCGAAGCTGCGCTATCAAAGGGAAAGTTCAACTCTGTGAGGTGAATGCAAACATCCCAAAGAAGTTTCTGAGAATGCTTCCGTTTAGCTTTTAGGTGAAGATTATCCCGTTTCCAACGAAATCTTCAAAGAGGTCCAAATATCCCCTTGCGGATCCCACAGAAAGAGTGTTTCGAAACTGCTGTTTCAAAAGGAATCTTCAACTCTGTGAGTTGAATGCAATCATCACAAAGAAGTTTCTGACAATGCTTCTCTCTCGTCTTTCTGTGAAGATAAAGGAAAAGGCTTTCAGGCCTTTTCCACCACAGGCCTGAAAGCGCTCCAAATGTCCACTTGCAGATTCTGCCAAAAGAATATTTCAAAACTGCTCTATGAAAAGCAATGTTAAACTCTGTGGCTCGAACACAAACATCACAAAGCCGTTTCTGAGAATGCTTCAGTTTAGTTTTTCTGTGGAAATATTCCCGTTTCGAAAGAAATCTTCAAAGAGGTCCACGTATCCACTTACAGATTCTACAAAAAGACAGTTTCAAAACTGCTCAATCAAAAGGAGGGTTCAACCGTGTGACTTGAATGCAATCATCACTCAGAAGTTTCTGAGAATGCTTCTCTTTAGTTTTTATGTGAACATATAACCGTTTCGAACGAAGGCCACCCAGTGGTCCAAATATCCACTTGCAGATTCTACAGAAAGAGTGTTTCGAACCTGAACTCTCAAAGGCAGGTTCATCTCTGCGAGTTCAATGCATTCATCATGAAGAACTTTCTCAGAGTGTTTGTGTTTAGGTATGGGAAATTATTCCCGTTTCCAACGAAATCCTCAGAGAGGTCCAAATATCCACCTGCAGATTCTACCAAAAGTGTATTTGGAAACTGCTCCATCAAAAGGCATGTTCAGCTCTGTGAGTGAAACTCCATCATCACAAAGAATATTCTGAGAATGCTTCCGTTTGCCTTTTATATGAAGTTCCTTCCTATACTACCGTAGGCCTCAAAGCAGTCCAAATCTCCATTTGCAGATTCTACAAAAAGAGTGATTCCAATCTGCTCTATCAATAGGATTGTTCAACTCCATGAGTTGAATGCCATCCTCACAAAGTCGTTTCTGAGAATGCTTCTATCTAGTTTTTATGTGAAGATATTTCCTTTTCCACCACAGGCCTCAAAGCCCTCCAAACGTCCACTTGCAGATTCTCGAAAAAGAGTGTTTCATAGCTGCTCTTTCAAAAGGAAAGTTCAACTCTGGGAGTTGAATACAAACATCACAAAGTAGTTTCCGAGAATGCTTCTGTTTAGTTCTTATGTGAAGATGATCCCGTTTCCAGTGAAATCTTCAAAGAGGTCCACATATCCCCTTGCAGATTCCAAAGAAAGAGGGTTTCTAAACTGCTCCATCAAAAGGATTGTTCAACTCTGTGAGTTGAATGCAGTCATCGCAGAAAACTTTCTGAGAATGCTTCTGTCTAGGTTTGATGTGAAGATATAGACGTTTCAAACGAAGGCTACAAAGTGGTCAAAATATACACTTACAGATTCTACTACAAGGGTGATGCAAACTTGAACTATCAAAGGAAGGTTCAACTCTGTGAGTTGAATACAAACATCACAAAGAATGTTCTGAGTTTGCTTCCGTTCAGTTATGGGAAGTTGATCCCGTTTCCAACGAAATCCTCAGAGAGGTCCAAATATCCCCTTGCAGATTCTACAAAACGTGTGTTTGGAAACTGCTCCATCATAACGAATGTTCAGCTCTCTGAGTTAAACTCCATCGTCACAAAGAATTTTCTGAGGGTGCTACCGTCTAGTTTTTATATGAAGTTCTTTCCTTTACTACCACAGGCCTCAAAGCGGTCCAAATCTCCACTTGCAGATTCTACAAAAAGAGTGTTTGCAAACTGCTCTATCAAAAGGAATGTTCAACTCTGGGAGTTGAATGCAATCATCACAGAGCAGTTTCTGAGAATGCTTCTATGTCGTTTTTAGGAGAAGATATTTCCTTTTCCAACACAGTCCTCCAAGCCCGCTAAATATCCACTTGCACATTGTAGAAAAAGTGTGTCGAAGCTGCGCTATCAAAGGGAAAGTTCAACTCTGTGAGGTGAATGCAAACATCCCAAAGAAGTTTCTGAGAATGCTTCCGTTTAGCTTTTAGGTGAAGATTATCCCGTTTCCAACGAAATCTTCAAAGAGGTCCAAATATCCCCTTGCGGATCCCACAGAAAGAGTGTTTCGAAACTGCTGTTTCAAAAGGAATCTTCAACTCTGTGAGTTGAATGCAATCATCACAAAGAAGTTTCTGACAATGCTTCTCTCTCGTCTTTCTGTGAAGATAAAGGAAAAGGCTTTCAGGCCTTTTCCACCACAGGCCTGAAAGCGCTCGAAATGTCCACTTGCAGATTCTGCCAAAAGAATACTTCAAAACTGCTCTATGAAAAGCAATGTTAAACTCTGTGGCTCGAACACAAACATCACAAAGCAGTTTCTGAGAATGCTTCAGTTTAGTTTTTCTGTGGAAATATTCCCGTTTCCAAAGAAATCTTCAAAGAGGTCCACGTATCCACTTACAGATTCTACAAAAAGACAGTTTCAAAACTGCTCAATCAAAAGGAGGGTTCAACCGTGTGACTTGAATGCAATCATCACTCAGAAGTTTCTGAGAATGCTTCTCTTTAGTTTTTACGTGAACATATACCCGTTTCGAACGAAGGCCACACAGTGGTCCAAATATCCACTTGCAGATTCTACAGAAAGAGTGTTTCGAACCTGAACTCTCAAAGGCAGGTTCATCTCTGCGAGTTAAATGCATTCATCATGAAGAACTTTCTCAGAGTGTTTGTGTTTAGTTATGGGAAATTATTCCCGTTTCCAACGAAATCCTCAGAGAGGTCCAAATATCCACCTGCAGATTCTACCAAAAGTGTATTTGGAAACTGCTCCATCAAAAGGCATGTTCAGCTCTGTGAGTGAAACTCCATCATCACAAAGAATATTCTGAGAATGCTTCCGTTTGCCTTTTATATGAAGTTCCTTCCTATACTACCGTAGGCCTCAAAGCAGTCCAAATCTCCATTTGCAGATTCTACAAAAAGAGTGATTCCAATCTGCTCTATCAATAGGATTGTTCAACTCCATGAGTTGAATGCCATCCTCACAAAGTCGTTTCTGAGAATGCTTCTATCTAGTTTTTATGTGAAGATATTTCCTTTTCCACCACAGGCCTCAAAGCCCTCCAAACGTCCACTTGCAGATTCTCGAAAAAGAGTGTTTCATAGCTGCTCTTTCAAAAGGAAAGTTCAACTCTGGGAGTTGAATACAAACATCACAAAGTAGTTTCCGAGAATGCTTCTGTTTAGTTTTTATGTGAAGATGATCCCGTTTCCAGTGAAATCTTCAAAGAGGTCCACATATCCCCTTGCAGATTCCAAAGAAAGAGGGTTTCAAAACTGCTCCATCAGAAGGATTGTTCAACTCTGTGAGTTGAATGCAGTCATCGCAGAAAACTTTCTGAGAATGCTTCTTTCTAGGTTTGATGTGAAGATATAGACGTTTCAAACGAAGGCTACAAAGTGGTCAAAATATACACTTGCAGATTCTACTACAAGGGTGTTGCAAACCTGAACTATCAAAGGAAGGTTCAACTCTGTGAGTTGAATACAAACATCACAAAGAATGTTCTGAGTTTGCTTCCGTTCAGTTATGGGAAGTTGATCCCGTTTCCAACGAAATCCTCAGAGAGGTCCAAATATCCCCTTGCAGATTCTACAAAACGTGTGTTTGGAAACTGCTCCATCATAACGAATGTTCAGCTCCCTGAGTTAAACTCCATCGTCACAAAGAATTTTCTGAGAGTGCTACCGTCTGGTTTTTATATGAAGTTCTTTCCTTCACTACCACAGGCCTCAAAGCGGTCCAAATCTCCACTTGCAGATTCTACAAAAAGAGTGTTTGCAAACTGCTCTATCAAAAGGAATGTTCAACTCTGGGAGTTGAATGCAATCATCACAGAGCAGTTTCTGAGAATGCTTCTATGTCGTTTTTAGGAGAAGATAATTCCTTTTCCAACACAGTCCTCCAAGCCCGCTAAATAGCTACTTGCACATTGTAGAAAAAGTGTGTCAAAGCTGCGCTATCAAAGGGAAAGTTCAACTCTGTGAGGTGAATGCAAACATCCCAAAGAAGTTTCTGAGAATGCTTCCGTTTAGCTTTTAGGTGAAGATTATCCCGTTTCCAACGAAACCTTCAAAGAGGTCCAAATATCCCCTTGCGGATCCCACAGAAAGAGTGTTTCAAAACTGCTGTTTCAAAAGGAATCTTCAACTCTGTGAGTTGAATGCAATCATCACAAAGAAGTTTCTGACAATGCTTCTCTCTCGTCTTTCTGTGAAGATAAAGGAAAAGGCTTTCAGGCCTTTTCCACCACAGGCCTGAAAGCGCTCCAAATGTCCACTTGCAGATTCTGCGAAAAGAATATTTCAAAACTGCTCTATGAAAAGCAATGTTAAACTCTGTGGCTCGAACACAAACATCACAAAGCGGTTTCTGAGAATGCTTCAGTTTAGTTTTTCTGTGGAAATATTCCCGTTTCCAAAGAAATCTTCAAAGAGGTCCACGTATCCACTTACAGATTCTACAAAAAGACAGTTTCAAAACTGCTCCATCAAAAGGAGGGTTCAACTGTGTGACTTGAATGCAATCATCACTCAGAAGTTTCTGAGAATGCTTCTCTTTAGTTTTTACGTGAACATATACCCGTTTCGAACGAAGGCCAACCAGTGGTCCAAATATCCACTTGCAGATTCTACAGAAAGAGTGTTTCGAACCTGAACTCTCAAAGGCAGGTTCATCTCTGCGAGTTAAATGCATTCATCATGAAGAACTTTCTCAGAGTGTTTGTGTTTAGTTATGGGAAATTATTCCCGTTTCCAACGAAATCCTCAGAGAGCTCCAAATATCCACCTGCAGATTCTACCAAAAGTGTATTTGGAAACTGCTCCATCAAAAGGCATGTTCAGCTCTGTGAGTGAAACTCCATCATCACAAAGAATATTCTGAGAATGCTTCCGTTTGCCTTTTATCTGAAGTTCCTTCCTATACGACCGTAGGCCTCAAAGCAGTCCAAATCTCCATTTGCAGATTTTACAAAAAGAGTGATTCCAATCTGCTCTATCAATAGGATTGTTCAACTCCATGAGTTGAATGCCATCCTCACAAAGTCGTTTCTGAGAATGCTTCTATCTAGTTTTTATGTGAAGATATTTCCTTTTCCACCACAGGCCTCAAAGCCTTCCAAACGTCCACTTGCAGATTCTCGAAAAAGAGTGTTTCATAGCTGCTCTTTCAAAAGGAAAGTTCAACTCTGGGAGTTGAATACAAACATCACAAAGTAGTTTCCGAGAATGCTTCTGTTTAGTTTTTATGTGAAGATGATCCCGTTTCCAGTGAAATCTTCAAAGAGGTCCACATATCCCCTTGCAGATTCCAAAGAAAGAGGGTTTCAAAACTGCTCCATCAGAAGGATTGTTCAACTCTGTGAGTTGAATGCAGTCATCGCAGAAAACTTTCTGAGAATGCTTCTTTCTAGGTTTGATGTGAAGATATAGACGTTTCAAACGAAGGCTACAAAGTGGTCAAAATATACACTTGCAGATTCTACTACAAGGGTGTTGCAAACCTGAACTATCAAAGGAAGGTTCAACTCTGTGAGTTGAATACAAACATCACAAAGAATGTTCTGAGTTTGCTTCCGTTCAGTTATGGGAAGTTGATCCCGTTTCCAACGAAATCCTCAGAGAGGTCCAAATATCCCCTTGCAGATTCTACAAAACGTGTGTTTGGAAACTGCTCCATCATAACGAATGTTCAGCTCCCTGAGTTAAACTCCATCGTCACAAAGAATTTTCTGAGAGTGCTACCGTCTGGTTTTTATATGAAGCTCTTTCCTTCACTACCACAGGCCTCAAAGCGGTCCAAATCTCCACTTGCAGATTCTACAAAAAGAGTGTTTGCAAACTGCTCTATCAAAAGGAATGTTCAACTCTGGGAGTTGAATGCAATCATCACAGAGCAGTTTCTGAGAATGCTTCTATGTCGTTTTTAGGAGAAGATATTTCCTTTTCCAACACAGTCCTCCAAGCCCGCTAAATAGCCACTTGCACATTGTAGAAAAAGTGTGTCAAAGCTGCGCTATCAAAGGGAAAGTTCAACTCTGTGAGGTGAATGCAAACATCCCAAAGAAGTTTCTGAGAATGCTTCCGTTTAGCTTTTAGGTGAAGATTATCCCGTTTCCAACGAAACCTTCAAAGAGGTCCAAATATCCCCTTGCGGATCCCACAGAAAGAGTGTTTCGAAACTGCTGTTTCAAAAGGAATCTTCAACTCTGTGAGTTGAATGCAATCATCACAAAGAAGTTTCTGACAATGCTTCAGTTTAGTTTTTCTGTGGAAATATTCCCGTTTCCAAAGAAATCTTCAAAGAGGTCCACGTATCCACTTACAGATTCTACAAAAAGACAGTTTCAAAACTGCTCCATCAAAAGGAGGGTTCAACCGTGTGACTTGAATGCAATCATCACTCAGAAGTTTCTGAGAATGCTTCTCTTTAGTTTTTACGTGAACATATACCCGTTTCGAACGAAGGCCACCCAGTGGTCCAAATATCCACTTGCAGATTCTACAGAAAGAGTGTTTCGAAACTGAACTCTCAAAGGCAGGTTCATCTCTGCGAGTTAAATGCATTCATCATGAAGAACTTTCTCAGCGTGTTTGTGTTTAGTTATGGGAAATTATTCCCGTTTCCAACGAAATCCTCAAAGAGCTCCAAATATCCACCTGCAGATTCTACCAAAAGTGTATTTGGAAACTGCTCCATCAAAAGGCATGTTCAGCTCTGTCAGTGAAACTCCATCATCACAAAGAATATTCTGAGAATGCTTCCGTTTGCCTTTTATATGAAGTTCCTTCCTGTACTACCGTAGGCCTCAAAGCAGTCCAAATCTCCATTTGCACATTCTACAAAAAGAGTGATTCCAATCTGCTGTATCAATAGGATTGTTCAACTCCATGAGTTGAATGCCATCCTCACAAAGTCGCTTCTGAGAATGCTTCTATCTAGTTTTTATGTGAAGATATTTCCTTTTCCACCACAGGCCTCAAAGCCCTCCAAACGTCCACTTGCAGATTCTCGAAAAAGAGTGTTTCATAGCTGCTCTTTCAAAAGGAAAGTTCAACTCTGGGAGTTGAATACAAACATCACAAAATAGTTTCCGAGAATGCTTCTGTTTAGTTTTTATGTGAAGATGATCCCGTTTCCAGTGAAATCTTCAAAGAGGTCCACATATCCCCTTGCAGATTCCAAAGAAAGAGGGTTTAAAAACTGCTCCATCAGAAGGATTGTTCAACTCTGTGAGTTGAATGCAGTCATCGCAGAAAACTTTCTGAGAATGCTTCTGTCTAGGTTTGATGTGAAGATATAGATGTTTCAAACGAAGGCTACAAAGTGGTCAAAATATACACTTGCAGATTCTACTACAAGGGTGTTGCAAACCTGAACTATCAAAGGAAGGTTCAACTCTGTGAGTTGAATACAAACATCACAAAGAATGTTCTGAGTTTGCTTCCGTTCAGTTATGGGAAGTTGATCCCGTTTCCAACGAAATCCTCAGAGAGGTCCAAATATCCCCTTGCAGATTCTACAAAAAGTGTGTTTGGAAACTGCTCCATCATAACGAATGTTCAGCTCCCTGAGTTAAACTCCATCGTCACAAAGAATTTTCTGAGAGTGCTACCGTCTGGTTTTTATATGAAGTTCTTTCCTTCACTACCACAGGCCTCAAAGCGGTCCAAATCTCCACTTGCAGATTCTACAAAAAGAGTGTTTGCAAACTGCTCTATCAAAAGGAATGTTCAACTCTGGGAGTTGAATGCAATCATCACAGAGCAGTTTCTGAGAATGCTTCTATGTCGTTTTTAGGAGAAGATATTTCCTTTTCCAACACAATCCTCCAAGCCCGCTAAATAGCCACTTGCACATTGTAGAAAAAGTGTGTCAAAGCTGCGCTATCAAAGGGAAAGTTCAACTCTGTGAGGTGAATGCAAACATCCCAAAGAAGTTTCTGAGAATGCTTCCGTTTAGCTTTTAGGTGAAGATTATCCCGTTTCCAACGAAACCTTCAAAGAGGTCCAAATATCCCCTTGCGGATCCCACAGAAAGAGTGTTTCGAAACTGCTGTTTCAAAAGGAATCTTCAACTCTGTGAGTTGAATGCAATCATCACAAAGAAGTTTCTGACAATGCTTCTCTCTCGTCTTTCTGTGAAGATAAAGGAAAAGGCTTTCAGGCCTTTTCCACCACAGGCCTGAAAGCGCTCCAAATGTCCACTTGCAGATTCTGCCAAAAGAATATTTCAAAACTGCTCTATGAAAAGCAATGTTAAACTCTGTGGCTCGAACACAAACATCACAAAGCGGTTTCTGAGAATGCTTCAGTTTAGTTTTTCTGTGGAAATATTCCCGTTTCCAAAGAAATCTTCAAAGAGGTCCACGTATCCACTTACAGATTCTACAAAAAGACAGTTTCAAAACTGCTCCATCAAAAGGAGGGTTCAACTGTGTGACTTGAATGCAATCATCACTCAGAAGTTTCTGAGAATGCTTCTCTTTAGTTTTTACGTGAACATATACCCGTTTCGAACGAAGGCCAGCCAGTGGTCCAAATATCCACTTGCAGATTCTACAGAAAGAGTGTTTCGAACCTGAACTCTCAAAGGCAGGTTCATCTCTGCGAGTTAAATGCATTCATCATGAAGAACTTTCTCAGAGTGTTTGTGTTTAGTTATGGGAAATTATTCCCGTTTCCAACGAAATCCTCAGAGAGCTCCAAATATCCACCTGCAGATTCTACCAAAAGTGTATTTGGAAACTGCTCCATCAAAAGGCATGTTCAGCTCTGTGAGTGAAACTCCATCATCACAAAGAATATTCTGAGAATGCTTCCATTTGCCTTTTATATGAAGTTCCTTCCTATACGACCGTAGGCCTCAAAGCAGTCCAAATCTCCATTTGCAGATTCTACAAAAAGAGTGATTCCAATCTGCTCTATCAATAGGATTGTTCAACTCCATGAGTTGAATGCCATCCTCACAAAGTCGTTTCTGAGAATGCTTCTTTCTAGTTTTTATGTGAAGATATTTCCTTTTCCACCACAGGCCTCAAAGCCCTCCAAACGTCCACTTGCAGATTCTCGAAAAAGAGTGTTTCAAAGCTGCTCTTTCAAAAGGAAAGTTCAACTCTGGGAGTTGAATACAAACATCACAAAGTAGTTTCCGAGAATGCTTCTGTTTAGTTTTTATGTGAAGATGATCCCGTTTCCAGTGAAATCTTCAAAGAGGTCCACATATCCCCTTGCAGATTCCAAAGAAAGAGGGTTTCAAAACTGCTCCATCAAAAGGATTGTTCAACTCTGTGAGTTGAATGCAGTCATCGCAGAAAACTTTCTGAGAATGCTTCTGTCTAGGTTTGATGTGAAGATATAGACGTTTCAAACGAAAGCTACAAAGTGGTCAAAATATACACTTGCAGATTCTACTACAAGGGTGTTGCAAACCTGAACTATCAAAGGAAGGTTCAACTCTGTGAGTTGAATACAAACATCACAAAGAATGTTCTGAGTTTGCTTCCGTTCAGTTATGGGAAGTTGATCCCGTTTCCAACGAAATCCTCAGAGAGGTCCAAATATCCCCTCGCAGATTCTACAAAACGTGTGTTTGGAAACTGCTCCATCATAACGAATGTTCAGCTCCCTGAGTTAAACTCCATCGTCACAAAGAATTTTCTGATAGTGCTACCGTCTGGTTTTTATATGAAGTTCTTTCCTTCACTACCACAGGCCTCAAAGCGGTCCAAATCTCCACTTGCAGATTCTACAAAAAGAGTGTTTGCAAACTGCTCTATCAAAAGGAATGTTCAACTCTGGGAGTTGAATGCAATCATCACAGAGCAGTTTCTGAGAATGCTTCTATGTCGTTTTTAGGAGAAGATATTTCCTTTTCCAACACAGTCCTCCAAGCCCGCTAAATAGCCACTTGCACATTGTAGAAAAAGTGTGTCGAAGCTGCGCTATCAAAGGGAAAGTTCAACTCTGTGAGGTGAATGCAAACATCCCAAAGAAGTTTCTGAGAATGCTTCCGTTTAGCTTTTAGGTGAAGATTATCCCGTTTCCAACGAAACCTTCAAAGAGGTCCAAATATCCCCTTGCGGATCCCACAGAAAGAGTGTTTCGAAACTGCTGTTTCAAAAGGAATCTTCAACTCTGTGAGTTGAATGCAATCATCACAAAGAAGTTTCTGACAATGCTTCTCTCTCGTCTTTCTGTGAAGATAAAGGAAAAGGCTTTCAGGCCTTTGCCACCACAGGCCTGAAAGCGGTCCAAATGTCCACTTGCAGATTCTGCCAAAAGAATATTTCAAAACTGCTCTATGAAAAGCAATGTTAAACTCTGCGGCTCGAACACAAACATCACAAAGCGGTTTCTGAGAATGCTTCAGTTTAGTTTTTCTGTGGAAATATTCCCGTTTCCAAAGAAATCTTCAAAGAGGTCCACGTATCCACTTACAGATTCTACAAAAAGACAGTTTCAAAACTGCTCCATCAAAAGGAGGGTTCAACTGTGTGACTTCAATGCAATCATCACTCAGAAGTTTCTGAGAATGCTTCTCTTTAGTTTTTACGTGAACATATACCCGTTTCGAACGAAGGCCACCCAGTGGTCCAAATATCCACTTGCAGATTCTACAGAAAGAGTGTTTCGAACCTGAACTCTCAAAGGCAGGTTCATCTCTGCGAGTTAAATGCATTCATCATGAAGAACTTTCTCAGAGTATTTGTGTTTAGTTATGGGAAATTATTCCCGTTTCCAAAGAAATCCTCAGAGAGCTCCAAATATCCACCTGCAGATTCTACCAAAAGTGTATTTGGAAACTGCTCCATCAAAAGGCATGTTCAGCTCTGTGAGTGAAACTCCATCATCACAAAGAATATTCTGAGAATGCTTCCGTTTGCCTTTTATATGAAGTTCCTTCCTGTACTACCGTAGGCCTCAAAGCAGTCCAAATCTCCATTTGCAGATTCTACAAAAAGAGTGATTCCAATCTGCTCTATCAATAGGATTGTTCAACTCCATGAGTTGAATGCCATCCTCACAAAGTAGTTTCTGAGAATGCTTCTATCTAGTTTTTATGTGAAGATATTTCCTTTTCCACCACAGGCCTCAAAGACCTCCAAACGTCCACTTGCAGATTCTCGAAAAGGAGTGTTTCATAGCTGCTCTTTCAAAAGGAAAGTTCAACTCTGGGAGTTGAATACAAACATCACAAAGTAGTTTCCGAGAATGCTTCTGTTTAGTTTTTATGTGAAGATGATCCCGTTTCCAGTGAAATCTTCAAAGAGGTCCACATATCCCCTTGCAGATTCCAAAGAAAGAGGGTTTCAAAACTGCTCCATCAGAAGGATTGTTCAACTCTGTGAGTTGAATGCAGTCATCGCAGAAAACTTTCTGAGAATGCTTCTGTCTAGGTTTGATGTGAAGATATAGACGTTTCAAACGAAGGCTACAAAGTGGTCAAAATATACACTTGCAGATTCTACTACAAGGGTGTTGCAAACCTGAACTATCAAAGGAAGGTTCAACTCTGTGAGTTGAATACAAACATCACAAAGAATGTTCTGAGTTTGCTTCCGTTCAGTTATGGGAAGTTGATCCCGTTTCCAACGAAATCCTCAGAGAGGTCCAAATATCCCCTTGCAGATTCTACAAAACGTGTGTTTGGAAACTGCTCCATCATAACGAATGTTCAGCTCCCTGAGTTAAACTCCATCGTCACAAAGAATTTTCTGAGAGTGCTACCGTCTGGTTTTTATATGAAGCTCTTTCCTTCACTACCACAGACCTCAAAGCGGTCCAAATCTCCACTTGCAGATTCTACAAAAAGAGTGTTTGCAAACTGCTCTATCAAAAGGAATGTTCAACTCTGGGAGTTGAATGCAATCATCACAGAGCAGTTTCTGAGAATGCTTCTATGTCGTTTTTAGGAGAAGATATTTCCTTTTCCAACACAGTCCTCCAAGCCCGCTAAATAGCCACTTGCACATTGTAGAAAAAGTGTGTCAAAGCTGCGCTATCAAAGGGAAAGTTCAACTCTGTGAGGTGAAAGCAAACATCCCAAAGAAGTTTTTGAGAATGCTTCCGTTTAGCTTTTAGGTGAAGATTATCCCGTTTCCAACGAAACCTTCAAAGAGGTCCAAATATCCCCTTGCGGATCCCACAGAAAGAGTGTTTCGAAACTGCTGTTTCAAAAGGAATCTTCAACTCTGTGAGTTGAATGCAATCATCACAAAGAAGTTTCTGACAATGCTTCTCTCTCGTCTTTCTGTGAAGATAAAGGAAAAGGCTTTCAGGCCTTTTCCACCACAGGCCTGAAAGCGCTCCAAATGTCCACTTGCAGATTCTGCCAAAAGAATATTTCAAAACTGCTCTATGAAAAGCAATGTTAAACTCTGTGGCTCGAACACAAACATCACAAAGCGGTTTCTGAGAATGCTTCAGTTTAGTTTTTCTGTGGAAATATTCCCGTTTCCAAAGAAATCTTCAAAGAGGTCCACGTATCCACTTACAGATTCTACAAAAAGACAGTTTCAAAACTGCTCCATCAAAAGGAGGGTTCAACTGTGTGACTTGAATGCAATCATCACTCACAAGTTTCTGAGAATGCTTCTCTTTAGTTTTTACGTGAACATATACCCGTTTCGAACGAAGGCCAGCCAGTGGTCCAAATATCCACTTGCAGATTCTACAGAAAGAGTGTTTCGAACCTGAACTCTCAAAGGCAGGTTCATCTCTGCGAGTTAAATGCATTCATCATGAAGAACTTTCTCAGAGTGTTTGTGTTTAGTTATGGGAAATTATTCCCGTTTCCAACGAAATCCTCAGAGAGCTCCAAATATCCACCTGCAGATTCTACCAAAAGTGTATTTGGAAACTGCTCCATCAAAAGGCATGTTCAGCTCTGTGAGTGAAACTCCATCATCACAAAGAATATTCTGAGAATGCTTCCGTTTGCCTTTTATCTGAAGTTCCTTCCTATACGACCGTAGGCCTCAAAGCAGTCCAAATCTCCATTTGCAGATTCTACAAAAAGAGTGATTCCAATCTGCTCTATCAATAGGATTGTTCAACTCCATGAGTTGAATGCCATCCTCACAAAGTCGTTTCTGAGAATGCTTCTATCTGGTTTTTGTGTGAAGATATTTCCTTTTCCACCACAGGCCTCAAAGCCCTCCAAACGTCCACTTGCAGATTCTCGAAAAAGAGTGTTTCATAGCTGCTCTTTCAAAAGGAAAGTTCAACTCTGGGAGTTGAATACAAACATCACAAAATAGTTTCCGAGAATGCTTCTGTTTAGTTTTTATGTGAAGATGATCCCGTTTCCAGTGAAATCTTCAAAGAGGTCCACATATCCCCTTGCAGATTCCAAAGAAAGAGGGTTTCAAAACTGCTCCATCAGAAGGATTGTTCAACTCTGTGAGTTGAATGCAGTCATCGCAGAAAACTTTCTGAGAATGCTTCTGTCTAGGTTTGATGTGAAGATATAGACGTTTCAAACGAAGGCTACAAAGTGGTCAAAATATACACTTGCAGATTCTACTACAAGGGTGTTGCAAACCTGAACTATCAAAGGAAGGTTCAACTCTGTGAGTTGAATACAAACATCACAAAGAATGTTCTGAGTTTGCTTCCGTTCAGTTATGGGAAGTTGATCCCGTTTCCAACGAAATCCTCAGAGAGGTCCAAATATCCCCTTGCAGATTCTACAAAACGTGTGTTTGGAAACTGCTCCATCATAACGAATGTTCAGCTCCCTGAGTTAAACTCCATCGTCACAAAGAATTTTCTGAGAGTGCTACCGTCTGGTTTTTATATGAAGTTCTTTCCTTCACTACCACAGACCTCAAAGCGGTCCAAATCTCCACTTGCAGATTCTACAAAAAGAGTGTTTGCAAACTGCTCTATCAAAAGGAATGTTCAACTCTGGGAGTTGAATGCAATCATCACAGAGCAGTTTCTGAGAATGCTTCTATGTCGTTTTTAGGAGAAGATATTTCCTTTTCCAACACAGTCCTCCAAGCCCGCTAAATAGCCACTTGCACATTGTAGAAAAAGTGTGTCAAAGCTGCGCTATCAAAGGGAAAGTTCAACTCTGTGAGGTGAATGCAAACATCCCAAAGAAGTTTCTGAGAATGCTTCCGTTTAGCTTTTAGGTGAAGATTATCCCGTTTCCAACGATATCTTCAAAGAGGTCCAAATATCCCCTTGCGGATCCCACAGAAAGAGTGTTTCGAAACTGCTGTTTCAAAAGGAATCTTCAACTCTGTGAGTTGAATGCAATCATCTCAAAGAAGTTTCCGACAATGCTTCTCTCTCGTCTTTCTGTGAAGATAAAGGAAAAGGCTTTCAGGCCTTTTCCACCACAGGCCTGAAAGCGCTCCAAATGTCCACTTGCAGATTCTGCCAAAAGAATATTTCAAAACTGCTCTATGAAAAGCAATGTTAAACTTGGCGGCTCGAACACAAACATCACAAAGCAGTTTCTGAGAATGCTTCAGTTTAGTTTTTCTGTGGAAATATTCCCGTTTCCAAAGAAATCTTCAAAGAGGTCCACGTATCCACTTACAGATTCTACAAAAAGACAGTTTCAAAACTGCTCAATCAAAAGGAGGGTTCAACTGTGTGACTTGAATGCAATCATCACTCAGAAGTTTCTGAGAATGCTTCTCTTTAGTTTTTACGTGAACATATACCCGTTTCGAACGAAGGCCACCCAGTGGTCCAAATATCCACTTGCAGATTCTACAGAAAGAGTGTTTCGAACCTGAACTCTCAAAGGCAGGTTCATCTCTGCGAGTTAAATGCATTCATCATGAAGAACTTTCTCAGAGTGTTTGTGTTTAGTTATGGGAAATTATTCCCGTTTCCAACGAAATCCTCAGAGAGCTCCAAATATCCACCTGCAGATTCTACCAAAAGTGTATTTGGAAACTGCTCCATCAAAAGGCATGTTCAGCTCTGTGAGTGAAACTCCATCATCACAAAGAATATTCTGAGAATGCTTCCGTTTGCCTTTTATATGAAGTTCCTTCCTATACGACCGTAGGCCTCAAAGCAGTCCAAATCTCCATTTGCAGATTCTACAAAAAGAGTGATTCCAATCTGCTCTATCAATAGGATTGTTCAACTCCATGAGTTGAATGCCATCCTCACAAAGTCGTTTCTGAGAATGCTTCTATCTAGTTTTTATGTGAAGATATTTCCTTTTCCACCACAGGCCTCAAAGCCCTCCAAACGTCCACTTGCAGATTCTCGAAAAAGAGTGTTTCATAGCTGCTCTTTCAAAAGGAAAGTTCAACTCTGGGAGTTGAATACAAACATCACAAAGTAGTTTCCGAGAATGCTTCTGTTTAGTTTTTATGTGAAGATGATCCCGTTTCCAGTGAAATCTTCAAAGAGGTCCACATATCCCCTTGCAGATTCCAAAGAAAGAGGGTTTCAAAACTGCTCCATCAGAAGGATTGTTCAACTCTGTGAGTTGAATGCAGTCATCGCAGAAAACTTTCTGAGAATGCTTCTGTCTAGGTTTGATGTGAAGATATAGACGTTTCAAACGAAGGCTACAAAGTGGTCAAAATATACACTTGCAGATTCTACTACAAGGGTGTTGCAAACCTGAACTATCAAAGGAAGGTTCAACTCTGTGAGTTGAATACAAACATCACAAAGAATGTTCTGAGTTTGCTTCCGTTCAGTTATGGGAAGTTGATCCCGTTTCCAACGAAATCCTCAGAGAGGTCCAAATATCCCCTCGCAGATTCTACAAAACGTGTGTTTGGAAACTGCTCCATCATAACGAATGTTCAGCTCCCGGAGTTAAACTCCATCGTCACAAAGAATTTTCTGAGAGTGCTACCGTCTGGTTTTTATATGAAGTTCTTTCCTTCACTACCACAGGCCTCAAAGCGGTCCAAATCTCCACTTGCAGATTCTACAAAAAGAGTGTTTGCAAACTGCTCTATCAAAAGGAATGTTCAACTCTGGGAGTTGAATGCAATCATCACAGAGCAGTTTCTGAGAATGCTTCTATGTCGTTTTTAGGAGAAGATATTTCCTTTTCCAACACAGTCCTCCAAGCCCGCTAAATAGCCACTTGCACGTTGTAGAAAAAGTGTGTCAAAGCTGCGCTATCAAAGGGAAAGTTCAACTCTGTGAGGTGAATGCAAACATCCCAAAGAAGTTTCTGAGAATGCTTCCGTTTAGCTTTTAGGTGAAGATTATCCCGTTTCCAACGAAACCTTCAAAGAGGTCCAAATATCCCCTTGCGGATCCCACAGAAAGAGTGTTTCGAAACTGCTGTTTCAAAAGGAATCTTCAACTCTGTGAGTTGAATGCAATCATCACAAAGAAGTTTCTGACAATGCTTCTCTCTCGTCTTTCTGTGAAGGTAAAGGAAAAGGCTTTCAGGCCTTTTCCACCACAGGCCTGAAAGCGCTCCAAATGTCCACTTGCAGATTCTGCCAAAAGAATATTTCAAAACTGCTCTATGAAAAGCAATGTTAAACTCTGTGACTCGAACACAAACATCACAAAGCGGTTTCTGAGAATGCTTCAGTTTAGTTTTTTTGTGGAAATATTCCCGTTTCCAAAGAAATCTTCAAAGAGGTCCACGTATCCACTTACAGATTCTACAAAAAGACAGTTTCAAAACTGCTCCATCAAAAGGAGGGTTCAACTGTGTGACTTGAATGCAATCATCACTCAGAAGTTTCTGAGAATGCTTCTCTTTAGTTTTTACGTGAACATATACCCGTTTCGAACGAAGGCCAGCCAGTGGTCCAAATATCCACTTGCAGATTCTACAGAAAGAGTGTTTCGAACATGAACTCTCAAAGGCAGGTTCATCTCTGCGAGTTAAATGCATTCATCATGAAGAACTTTCTCAGAGTGTTTGTGTTTAGTTATGGGAAATTATTCCCGTTTCCAACGAAATCCTCAGAGAGCTCCAAATATCCACCTGCAGATTCTACCAAAAGTGTATTTGGAAACTGCTCCATCAAAAGGCATGTTCAGCTCTGTGAGTGAAACTCCATCATCACAAAGAATATTCTGAGAATGCTTCCGTTTGCCTTTTATATGAAGTTCCTTCCTATACTACCGTAGGCCTCAAAGCAGTCCAAATCTCCATTTGCAGATTCTACAAAAAGAGTGATTCCAATCTGCTCTATCAATAGGATTGTTCAACTCCATGAGTTGAATGCCATCCTCACAAAGTAGTTTCTGAGAATGCTTCTATCTAGTTTTTATGTGAAGATATTTCCTTTTCCACCACAGGCCTCAAAGCCCTCAAAACGTCCACTTGCAGATTCTCGAAAAAGAGTGTTTCATAGCTGCTCTTTCAAAAGGAAAGTTCAACTCTGGGAGTTGAATACAAACATCACAAAGTAGTTTCCGAGAATGCTTCTGTTTAGTTTTTATGTGAAGATGATCCCGTTTCCAGTGAAATCTTCAAAGAGGTCCACATATCCCCTTGCAGATTCCAAAGAAAGAGGGTTTCAAAACTGCTCCATCAGAAGGATTGTTCAACTCTGTGAGTTGAATGCAGTCATCGCAGAAAACTTTCTGAGAATGCTTCTGTCTAGGTTTGATGTGAAGATATAGACGTTTCAAACGAAGGCTACAAAGTGGTCAAAATATACACTTGCAGATTCTACTACAAGGGTGTTGCAAACCTGAACTATCAAAGGAAGGTTCAACTCTGTGAGTTGAATACAAACATCACAAAGAATGTTCTGAGTTTGCTTCCGTTCAGTTATGGGAAGTTGATCCCGTTTCCAACGAAATCCTCAGAGAGGTCCAAATATCCCCTTGCAGATTCTACAAAACGTGTGTTTGGAAACTGCTCCATCATAACGAATGTTCAGCTCCCTGAGTTAAACTCCATCGTCACAAAGAATTTTCTGAGAGTGCTACCGTCTGGTTTTTATATGAAGTTCTTTCCTTCACTACCACAGGCCTCAAAGCGGTCCAAATCTCCACTTGCAGATTCTACAAAAAGAGTGTTTGCAAACTGCTCTATCAAAAGGAATGTTCAACTCTGGGAGTTGAATGCAATCATCACAGAGCAGTTTCTGAGAATGCTTCTTTGTCGTTTTTAGGAGAAGATATTTCCTTTTCCAACACAGTCCTCCAAGCCCGCTAAATAGCCACTTGCACATTGTAGAAAAAGTGTGTCAAAGCTGCGCTATCAAAGGGAAAGTTCAACTCTGTGAGGTGAATGCAAACATCCCAAAGAAGTTTCTGAGAATGCTTCCGTTTAGCTTTTAGGTGAAGATTATCCAGTTTCCAACGAAACCTTCAAATAGATCCAAATATCCCCTTGCGGTTCCCACAGAAAGAGTGTTTCGAAACTGCTGTTTCAAAAGGAATCTTCAACTCTGTGAGTTGAATGCAATCATCACAAAGAAGTTTCTGACAATGCTTCTCTCTCGTCTTTCTGTGAAGATAAAGGAAAAGGCTTTCAGGCCTTTTCCACCCACAGGCCTGAAAGCGCTCCAAATGTCCACTTGCAGATTCTGCCAAAAGAATATTTCAAAACTGCTCTATGAAAAGCAATGTTAAACTCTGCGGCTCGAACACAAACATCACAAAGCAGTTTCTGAGAATGCTTCAGTTTAGTTTTTCTGTGGAAATATTCCCGTTTCCAAAGAAATCTTCAAAGAGGTCCACGTACCCGCTTACAGATTCTACAAAAAGACAGTTTCAAAACTGCTCAATCAAAAGGAGGGTTCAACCGTGTGACTTGAATGCAATCATCACGCAGAAGTTTCTGAGAATGCTTCTCTTTAGTTTTTACGTGAACATATACCCGTTTCGAACGAAGGCCACCCAGTGGTCCAATTATCCACTTGCAGATTCTACAGAAAGAGTGTTTCGAACCTGAACTCTCAAAGGCAGGTTCATCTCTGCGAGTTCAATGCATTCATCATGAAGAACTTTCTCAGAGTGTTTGTGTTTAGGTATGGGAAATTATTCCCGTTTCCAACGAAATCCTCAGAGAGGTCCAAATATCCACCTGCAGATTCTACCAAAAGTGTATTTGGAAACTGCTCCATCAAAAGGCATGTTCAGCTCTGTGAGTGAAACTCCATCATCACAAAGAATATTCTGAGAATGCTTCCGTTTGCCTTTTATATGAAGTTCCTTCCTATACTACCGTAGGCCTCAAAGCAGTCCAAATCTCCATTTGCAGATTCTACCAAAAGAGTGATTCCAATCTGCTCTATCAATAGGATTGTTCAACTCCATGAGTTGAATGCCATCCTCACAAAGTCGTTTCTGAGAATGCTTCTATCTAGTTTTTATGTGAAGATATTTCCTTTTCCACCACAGGCCTCAAGGCCCTCAAAACGTCCACTTGCAGATTCTCGAAAAAGAGTGTTTCATAGCCGCTCTTTCAAAAGGAAAGTTCAACTCTGGGAGTTGAATACAAACATCACAAAGTAGTTTCCGAGAATGCTTCTGTTTAGTTCTTATGTGAAGATGATCCCGTTTCCAGTGAAATCTTCAAAGAGGTCCACATATCCCCTTGCAGATTCCAAAGAAAGAGGGTTTCAAAACTGCTCCATCAAAAGGATTGTTCAACTCTGTGAGTTGAATGCAGTCATCGCAGAAAACTTTCTGAGAATGCTTCTGTCTAGGTTGGTGGTGAAGATATAGACGTTTCAAACGAAGGCTACAAAGTGGTCAAAATATACACTTGCAGATTCTACTACAAGGGTGTTGCAAACCTCAACTATCAAAGGAAGGTTCAACTCTGTGAGTTGAATACAAACATCACAAAGAATGTTCTGAGTTTGCTTCCGTTCAGTTATGGGAAGTTGATCCCGTTTCCAACGAAATCCTCAGAGAGGTCCAAATATCCCCTTGCAGATTCTACAAAACGTGTGTTTGGAAACTGCTCCATCATAACGAATGTTCAGCTCTCTGAGTTAAACTCCATCGTCACAAAGAATTTTCTGAGAGTGCTACCGTCTGGTTTTTATATGAAGTTCTTCCCTTTACTACCACAGGCCTCAAAGCGGTCCAAATCTCCACTTGCAGATTCTACAAAAAGAGTGTTTGCAAACTGCTCTATCAAAAGGAATGTTCAACTCTGGGAGTTGAATGCAATCATCACAGAGCAGTTTCTGAGAATGCTTCTATGTCGTTTTTAGGAGAAGATATTTCCTTTTCCAACACAGTCCTCCAAGCCCGCTAAATATCCACTTGCACATTGTAAAAAAAGTGTGTCGAAGCTGCGCTATCAAAGGGAAAGTTCAACTCTGTGAGGTGAATGCAAACATCCCAAAGAAGTTTCTGAGAATGCTTCCGTTTAGCTTTTAGGTGAAGATTATCCCGTTTCCAACGAAATCTTCAAAGAGGTCCAAATATCCCCTTGCGGATCCCACAGAAAGAGTGTTTTGAAACTGCTGTTTCAGAAGGAATCTTCAACTCTGTGAGTTGAATGCAATCATCACAAAGAAGTTTCTGACAATGCTTCTCTCTCGTCTTTCTGTGAAGATAAAGGAAAAGGCTTTCAGGCCTTTTCCACCACAGGCCTGAAAGCGCTCCAAATGTCCACTTGCAGATTCTGCCAAAAGAATATTTCAAAACTGCTCTATGAAAAGCAATGTTAAACTCTGTGGCTCGAACACAAACATCACAAAGCAGTTTCTGAGAATGATTCAGTTTAGTTTTTCTGTGGAAATATTCCCGTTTCCAAAGAAATCTTCAAAGAGGTCCACGCATCCACTTACAGATTCTACAAAAAGACAGTTTCAAAACTGCTCAATCAAAAGGAGGGTTCAACTGTGTGACTTGAATGCAATCATCACTCAGAAGTTTCTGAGAATGCTTCTCTTTAGTTTTTACGTGAACATATACCCGTTTCGAACGAAGGCCACCCAGTGGTCCAAATATCCACTTGCAGACTCTACAGAAAGAGTGTTTCGAACCTGAACTCTCAAAGGCAGGTTCATCTCTGCGAGTTAAATGCATTCATCATGAAGAACTTTCTCAGCGTGTTTGTGTTTAGTTATTGGAAATTATTCCCGTTTCCAACGAAATCCTCAGAGAGGTCCAAATATCCACCTGTAGATTCTACCAAAAGTGTATTTGGAAACTGCTCCATCAAAAGGCATGTTCAGCTCTGTGAGTGAAACTCCATCATCACAAAGAATATTCTGAGAATGCTTCCGTTTGCCTTTTATATGAAGTTCCTTCCTATACTACCGTAGGCCTCAAAGCAGTCCAAATCTCCATTTGCAGATTCTACAAAAAGAGTGATTCCAATCTGCTCTATCAATAGGATTGTTCAACTCCATGAGTTGAATGCCATCCTCAAAAAGTCTTTTCTGAGAATGCTTCTATCTAGTTTTCATGTGAAGATATTTCCTTTTCCACCACAGGCCTCAAAGCCCTCCAAACGTCCACTTGCAGATTCTCGAAAAAGTGTGTTTCATAGCTGCTCTTTCAAAAGGAAAGTTCAACTCTGGGAGTTGAATACAAACATCACAAAGTAGTTTCCGAGAATGCTTCTGTTTAGTTCTTATGTGAAGATGATCCCGTTTCCAGTGAAATCTTCAAAGAGGTCCACATATCCCCTTGCAGATTCCAAAGAAAGAGGGTTTCAAAACTGCTCCATCAAAAGGAGTGTTCAACTCTGTGAGTTGAATGCAGTCATCGCAGAAAACTTTCTGAGAATGCTTCTGTCTAGGTTTGATGTGAAGATATAGACGTTTCAAACGAAGGCTACTAAGTGGTCAAAATATACACTTGCAGATTCTACTACAAGGGTGATGCAAACCTGAACTATCAAAGGAAGGTTCAACTCTGTGAGTTGAATACAAACATCACAAAGAATGTTCTGAGTTTGCTTCCGTTCAGTTATGGGAAGTTGATCCCGTTTCCAACGAAATCCTCAGAGAGGTCCAAATATCCCCTTGCAGATTCTACAAAACGTGTGTTTGGAAACTGCTCCATCATAACGAATGTTCAGCTCTCTGAGTTAAACTCCATCGTCACAAAGAATTTTCTGAGAGTGCTACCGTCTAGTTTTTATATGAAGTTCTTTCCTTTACTACCACAGGCCTCAAAGCGGTCCAAATCTCCACTTGCAGATTCTACAAAAAGAGTGTTTGCAAACTGCTCTATCAAAAGGAATGTTCAACTCTGGGAGTTGAATGCAATCATCACAGAGCAGTTTCTGAGAATGCTTCTATGTGGTTTTTAGGAGAAGATATTTCCCTTTCCACCACAGTCCTCCAAGCCCGCTAAATATCCACTTGCACATTGTAGAAAAAGTGTGTCGAAGCTGCGCTATCAAAGGGAAAGTTCAACTCTGTGAGGTGAATGCAAACATCCCAAAGAAGTTTCTGAGAATGCTTCCGTTTAGCTTTTAGGTGAAGATTATCCCGTTTCCAACGAAATCTTCAAAGAGGTCCAAATATCCCCTTGCGGATCCCACAGAAAGAGTGTTTCGAAACTGCTGTTTCAAAAGGAATCTTCAACTCTGTGAGTTGAATGCAATCATCACAAAGAAGTTTCTGACAATGCTTCTCTCTCGTCTTTCTGTGAAGATAAAGGAAAAGGCTTTCAGGCCTTTTCCACCACAGGCCTGAAAGAGCTCCAAATGTCCACTTGCAGATTCTGCGAAAAGAATATTTCAAAACTGCTCTATGAGAAGCAATGTTAAACTCTGTGGCTCGAACACAAACATCACAAAGCAGTTTCTGAGAATGCTTCCGTTTAGTTTTTCTGTGGAAATATTCCCGTTTCGAAAGACATCTTCAAGGAGGTCCACGTATCCACTTACAGATTCTACAAAAAGACAGTTTCAAAACTGCTCAATCAAAAGGAGGGTTCAACCATGTGACTTGAAAGCGATCATCACTCAGAAGTTTCTGAGAATGCTTCTCTTTAGTTTTTACGTGAACATATACCCGTTTCGAACGAAGGCCACCCAGTGGTCCAAATATCCACTTGTCAGATTCTACAGAAAGAGGTGTTTCGAACCTGAACTCTCAAAGGCAGCTTCATCTCTGCGAGTTCAATGCATTCATCATGAAGAACTTTCTCAGCGTGTTTGTGTTTAGTTATGGGAAATTATTCCCTTTTCCAACGAAATCCTCAGAGACGTCAAAATTTCCACCTGCAGATTCTACCAAAAGTGTATTTGGAGACTGCTCCATCAAAAGGCATGTTCAGCTCTGTGAGTGAAACTCCATCATCACAAAGAATATTCTGAGAATGCTTCCGTTTGCCTTTTATATGAAGTTCCTTCCTGTACTACCGTAGGCCTCAAAGCAGTCCAAATCTCCATTTGCAGATTCTACAAAAAGAGTGATTCCAATCTGCTCTATCAATAGGATTGTTCAACTCCATGAGTTGAATGCCATCCTCACAAAGTCGTTTCTGAGAATGCTTCTATCTAGTTTTTATGTGAAGATATTTCCTTTTCCACCACAGGCCTCAAAGCCCTCCAAACGTCCACTTGCAGATTTTCGAAAAAGAGTGTTTCATAGCTGCTCTTTCAAAAGGAAAGTCCAACTCTGGGAGTTGAATACAAACATCACAAAGTAGTTTCCGAGAATGCTTCTGTTTAGTTTTTATGTGAAGATGATCCCGTTTCCAGTGAAATCTTCAAAGAGGTCCACATATCCCCTTGCAGATTCCAAAGAAAGAGGGTTTCAAAACTGCTCCATCAAAAGGATTGTTCAACTCTGTGAGTTGAATGCAGTCATCGCAGAAAACTTTCTGAGAATGCTTCTGTCTAGGTTTGATGTGAAGATATAGACGTTTCAAACGAAGGCTACAAAGTGGTCAAAATATACACTTGCAGATTCTACTACAAGGGTGTTGCAAACCTGAACTATCAAAGGAAGGTTCAACTCTGTGAGTTGAATACAAACATCACAAAGAATGTTCTGAGTTTGCTTCCGTTCAGTTATGGGAAGTTGATCCCGTTTCCAACGAAATCCTCAGAGAGGTCCAAATATCCCCTCGCAGATTCTACAAAACGTGTGTTTGGAAACTGCTCCATCATAACGAATGTTCAGCTCCCTGAGTTAAACTCCATCGTCACAAAGAATTTTGTGAGAGTGCTACCGTCTGGTTTTTATATGAAGTTCTTTCCTTCACTACCACAGGCCTCAAAGCGGTCCAAATCTCCACTTGCAGATTCTACAAAAAGAGTGTTTGCAAACTGCTCTATCAAAAGGAATGTTCAACTCTGGGAGTTGAATGCAATCATTACAGAGCAGTTTCTGAGAATGCTTCTATGTCGTTTTTAGGAGAAGATATTTCCTTTTCCAACACAGTCCTCCTAGCCCGCTAAATAGCCACTTGCACATTGTAGAAAAAGTGTGTCAAAGCTGCGCTATCAAAGGGAAAGTTCAACTCTGTGAGGTGAATGCAAACATCCCAAAGAAGTTTCTGAGAATGCTTCCGTTTAGCTTTTAGGTGAAGATTATCCCGTTTCCAACGAAACCTTCAAAGAGGTCCAAATATCCCCTTGCGGATCCCACAGAAAGAGTGTTTCGAAACTGCTGTTTCAAAAGGAATCTTCAACTCTGTGAGTTGAATGCAATCATCACAAAGAAGTTTCTGACAATGCTTCTCTCTCGTCTTTCTGTGAAGATAAAGGAAAAGGCTTTCAGGCCTTTTCCACCACAGGCCTGAAAGCGCTCCAAATGTCCACTTGCAGATTCTGTGAAAAGAATATTTCAAAACTGCTCTATGAAAAGCAATGTTAAACTCTGTGGCTCGAACACAAACATCACAAAGCAGTTTCTGAGAATGCTTCAGTTTAGTTTTTCTGTGGAAATATTCCCGTTTCAAAGAAATCTTCAAAGAGGTCCACGTATCCACTTACAGATTCTACAAAAAGACAGTTTCAAAACTGCTCCATCAAAAGGAGGGTTCAACTGTGTGACTTGAATGCAATCATCACTCAGAAGTTTCTGAGAATGCTTCTCTTTAGTTTTTACGTGAACATATACCCGTTTCGAACGAAGGCCACCCAGTGGTCCAAATATCCACTTGCAGATTCTACAGAAAGAGTGTTTCGAACCTGAACTCTCAAAGGCAGGTTCATCTCTGCGAGTTAAATGCATTCATCATGAAGAACTTTCTCAGAGTGTTTGTGTTTAGTTATGGGAAATTATTCCCGTTTCCAACGAAATCCTCAGAGAGCTCCAAATATCCACCTGCAGATTCTACCAAAAGTGTATTTGGAAACTGCTCCATCAAAAGGCATGTTCAGCTCTGTGAGTGAAACTCCATCATCACAAAGAATATTCTGAGAATGCTTCCGTTTGCCGTTTATATGAAGTTCCTTCCTATACTACCGTAGGCCTCAAAGCAGTCCAAATCTCCATTTGCAGATTCTACAAAAAGAGTGATTCCAATCTGCTCTATCAATAGGATTGTCCAACTCCATGTGTTGAATGCCATCCTCAATGTCGTTTCTGAGAATGCTTCTATCTAGTTTTTATGTGAAGATATTTCCTTTTCCACCACAGGCCTCAAAGCCCTCCAAACGTCCACTTTCAGATTCTCGAAAAAGAGTGTTTCATAGCTGCTCTTTCAAAAGGAAAGTTCAACTCTGGGAGTTGAATACAAACATCACAAAGTAGTTTCCGAGAATGCTTCTGTTTAGTTTTTATGTGAAGATGATCCCGTTTCCAGTGAAATCTTCAAAGAGGTCCACATATCCCCTTGCAGATTCCAAAGAAAGAGGGTTTCAAAACTGCTCCATCAGAAGGATTGTTCAACTCTGTGAGTTGAATGCAGTCATCGCAGAAAACTTTCTGAGAATGCTTCTGTCTAGGTTTGATGTGAAGATATAGACGTTTCAAACGAAGGCTACAAAGTGGTCAAAATATACACTTGCAGATTCTACTACAAGGGTGTTGCAAACCTGAACTATCAAAGGAAGGTTCAACTCTGTGAGTTGAATACAAACATCACAAAGAATGTTCTGAGTTTGCTTCCGTTCAGTTATGGGAAGTTGATCCCGTTTCCAACGAAATCCTCAGAGAGGTCCAAATATCCCCTTGCAGATTCTACAAAACGTGTGTTTGGAAACTGCTCCATCATAACGAATGTTCAGCTCCCTGAGTTAAACTCCATCGTCACAAAGAATTTTCTGAAAGTGCTACCGTCTGGTTTTTATATGAAGTTCTTTCCTTCACTACCACAGGCCTCAAAGCGGTCCAAATCTCCACTTGCAGATTCTACAAAAAGAGTGTTTGCAAACTGCTCTATCAAAAGGAATGTTCAACTCTGGGAGTTGAATGCAATCATCACAGAGCAGTTTCTGAGAATGCTTCTATGTCGTTTTTAGGAGAAGATATTTCGTTTTCCAACACAGTCCTCCAAGCCCGCTAAATAGCCACTTGCACATTGTAGAAAAAGTGTGTCAAAGCTGCGCTATCAAAGGGAAAGTTCAACTCTGTGAGGTGAATGCAAACATCCCAAAGAAGTTTCTGAGAATGTTTCCGTTTAGCTTTTAGGTGAAGATTATCCCGTTTCCAACGAAACCTTCAAAGAGGTCCAAATATCCCCTTGCGGATCCCACAGAAAGAGTGTTTCGAAACCGCTGTTTCAAAAGGAATCTTCAACTCTGTGAGTTGAATGCAATCATCACAAAGAAGTTTCTGACAATGCTTCTCTCTCGTCTTTCTGTGAAGATAAAGGAAAAGGCTTTCAGGCCTTTTCCACCACAGGCCTGAAAGCGCTCCAAATGTCCACTTGTAGATTCTGCCAAAAGAATATTTCAAAACTGCTCTATGAAAAGCAATGTTAAACTCTGTGGCTCGAACACAAACATCACAAAGCAGTTTCTGAGAATGCTTCAGTTTAGTTTTTCTGTGGAAATATTCCCGTTTCCAAAGGAAATCTTCAAAGAGGTCCACGTATCCACTTACAGATTCTACAAAAAGACAGTTTCAAAACTGCTCCATCAAAAGGAGGGTTCAACTGTGTGACTTGAATGCAATCATCACTCAGAAGTTTCTGAGAATGCTTCTCTTTAGTTTTTACGTGAACATATACCCGTTTCGAACGAAGGCCACCCAGTGGTCCAAATATCCACTTGCAGATTCTACAGAAAGAGTGTTTCGAACCTGAACTCTCAAAGGCAGGTTCATCTCTGCGAGTTAAATGCATTCATCATGAAGAACTTTCTCAGAGTGTTTGTGTTTAGTTATGGGAAATTATTCCCGTTTCCAACGAAATCCTCAGAGAGCTCCAAATATCCACCTGCAGATTCTACCAAAAGTGTATTTGGAAACTGCTCCATCAAAAGGCATGTTCAGCTCTGTGAGTGAAACTCCATCATCACAAAGAATATTCTGAGAATGCTTCCGTTTGCCTTTTATATGAAGTTCCTTCCTGTACTACCGTAGGCCTCAAAGCAGTCCAAATCTCCATTTGCAGATTCTATAAAAAGAGTGATTCCAATCTGCTCTATCAATAGGATTGTTCAACTCCATGAGTTGAATGCCATCCTCACAAAGTAGTTTCTGAGAATGCTTCTATCTGGTTTTTGTGTGAAGATATTTCCTTTTCCACCACAGGCCTCAAAGCCCTCCAAACGTCCACTTGCAGATTCTCGAAAAAGAGTGTTTCATAGCTGCTCTTTCAAAAGGAAAGTTCAACTCTGGGAGTTGAATACAAACATCACAAAGTAGTTTCCGAGAATGCTTCCTGTTTAGTTTTTATGTGAAGATGATCCCGTTTCCAGTGAAATCTTCAAAGAGGTCCACATATCCCCTTGCAGATTCCAAAGAAAGAGGGTTTCAAAACTGCTCCATCAGAAGGATTGTTCAACTCTGTGAGTTGAATGCAGTCATCGCAGAAAACTTTCTGAGAATGCTTCTGTCTAGGTTTGATGTGAAGATATAGACGTTTCAAACGAAGGCTACAAAGTGGTCAAAATATACACTTGCAGATTCTACTACAAGGGTTTTGCAAACCTGAACTATCAAAGGAAGGTTCAACTCTGTGAGTTGAATACAAACATAACAAAGAATGTTCTGAGTTTGCTTCCGTTCAGTTATGGGAAGTTGATCCCGTTTCCAACGAAATCCTCAGAGAGGTCCAAATATCCCCTTGCAGATTCTACAAAACGTGTGTTTGGAATCTGCTCCATCGTAACGAATGTTCAGCTCCCTGAGTTAAACTCCATCGTCACAAAGAATTTTCTGAGAGTGCTACCGTCTGGTTTTTATATGAAGTTCTTTCCTTCACTACCACAGGCCTCAAAGCGGTCCAAATCTCCACTTGCAGATTCTACAAAAAGAGTGTTTGCAAACTGCTCTATCAAAAGGAATGTTCAACTCTGGGAGTTGAATGCAATCATCACAGAGCAGTTTCTGAGAATCCTTCTATGTCGTTTTTAGGAGAAGATATTTCCTTTTCCAACACAGTCCTCCAAGCCCGCTAAATAGCCACTTGCACATTGTAGAAAAAGTGTGTCAAAGCTGCGCTATCAAAGGGAAAGTTCAACTCTGTGAGGTGAATGCAAACATCCCAAAGAAGTTTCTGAGAATGCTTCCGTTTAGCTTTTAGGTGAAGATTATCCCGTTTCCAACGAAACCTTCAAAGAGGTCCAAATATCCCCTTGCGGATCCCACAGAAAGAGTGTTTCGAAACTGCTGTTTCAAAAGGAATCTTCAACTCTGTGAGTTGAATGCAATCATCACAAAGAAGTTTCTGACAATGCTTCTCTCTCGTCTTTCTGTGAAGATAAAGGAAAAGGCTTTCAGGCCTTTGCCACCACAGGCCTGAAAGCGCTCCAAATGTCCACTTGCAGATTCTGCCAAAAGAATATTTCAAAACTGCTCTATGAAAAGCAATGTTAAACTCTGTGGCTGGAACACAAACATCACAAAGCGGTTTCTGATAATGTTTCAGTTTAGTTTTTCTGTGGAAATATTCCCGTTTCCAAAGAAATCTTCAAAGAGGTCCACGTATCCACTTACAGATTCTACAAAAAGACAGTTTCAAAACTGCTCCATCAAAAGGAGGGTTCAACTGTGTGACTTGAATGCAATCATCACTCAGAAGTTTCTGAGAATGCTTCTCTTTAGTTTTTACGTGAACATATACCCGTTTCGAACGAAGGCCACCCAGTGGTCCAAATATCCACTTGCAGATTCTACAGAAAGAGTGTTTCGAACCTGAACTCTCAAAGGCAGGTTCATCTCTGCGAGTTAAATGCATTCATCATGAAGAACTTTCTCAGAGTGTTTGTGTTTAGTTATGGGAAATTATTCCCGTTTCCAACGAAATCCTCAGAGTGGTCCAAATGTCCACCTGCAGATTCTACCAAAAGTGTATTTGGAAACTGCTCCATCAAAAGGCATGTTCAGCTCTGTGAGTGAAACTCCATCATCACAAAGAATATTCTGAGAATGCTTCCGTTTGCCTTTTATATGAAGTTCCTTCCTGTACTACCGTAGGCCTCAAAGCAGTCCAAATCTCCATTTGCAGATTCTACAAAAAGAGTGATTCCAATCTGCTCTATCAATAGGATTGTTCAACTCCATGAGTTGAATGCCATCCTCACAAAGTAGTTTCTGAGAATGCTTCTATCTGGTTTTTGTGTGAAGATATTTCCTTTTCCACCACAGGCCTCAAAGCCCTCCAAACGTCCACTTGCAGATTCTCGAAAAAGAGTGTTTCATAGCTGCTCTTTCAAAAGGAAAGTTCAACTCTGGGAGTTGAATACAAACATCACAAAATAGTTTCCGAGACTGCTTCTGTTTAGTTTTTATGTGAAGATGATCCCGTTTCCAGTGAAATCTTCAAAGAGGTCCACATATCCCCTTGCAGATTCCAAAGAAAGAGGGTTTCAAAACTGCTCCATCAAAAGGATTGTTCAACTCTGTGAGTTGAATGCAGTCATCGCAGAAAACTTTCTGAGAATGCTTCTGTCTAGGTTTGATGTGAAGATATAGACGTTTCAAACGAAGGCTACAAAGTGGTCAAAATATACACTTGCAGATTCTACTACAAGGGTGTTGCAAACCTGAACTATCAAAGGAAGGTTCAACTCTGTGAGTTGAATACAAACATCACAAAGAATGTTCTGAGTTTGCTTCCGTTCAGTTATGGGAAGTTGATCCCGTTTCCAGCGAAATCCTCAGAGAGGTCCAAATATCCCCTTGCAGATTCTACAAAACGTGTGTTTGGAAACTGCTCCATCATAACGAATGTTCAGCTCCCTGAGTTAAACTCCATCGTCACAAAGAATTTTCTGAGAGTGCTACCGTCTGGTTTTTATATGAAGTTCTTTCCTTTACTACCACAGGCCTCAAAGCGGTCCAAATCTCCACTTGCAGATTCTACAAAAAGAGTGTTTGCAAACTGCTCTATCAAAAGGAATGTTCAACTCTGGGAGTTGAATGCAATCATCACAGAGCAGTTTCTGAGAATGCTTCTATGTCGTTTTTAGGAGAAGATATTTCCTTTTCCAACACAGTCTTCCAAGCCCGCTAAATATCCACTTGCACATTGTAGAAAAAGTGTGTCGAAGCTGCGCTATCAAAGGGAAAGTTCAACTCTGTGAGGTGAATGCAAACATCCCAAAGAAGTTTCTGAGAATGCTTCCCGTTTAGCTTTTAGGTGAGGATTATCCCGTTTCCAACGAAACCTTCAAAGAGGTCCAAATATCCCCTTGCGGATCCCACAGAAAGAGTGTTTCGAAACTGCTGTTTCAAAAGGAATCTTCAACTCTGTGAGTTGAATGCAATCATCACAAAGAAGTTTCTGACAATGCTTCTCTCTCGTCTTTCTGTGAAGATAAAGGAAAAGGCTTTCAGGCCTTTTCCACCACAGGCCTGAAAGCGCTCCAAATGTCCACTTGCAGATTCTGCGAAAAGAATATTTCAAAACTGATCTATGAAAAGCAATGTTAAACTCTGTGGCTCGAACACAAACATCACAAAGCAGTTTCTGAGAATGCTTCAGTTTAGTTTTTCTGTGGAAATATTCCCGTTTCCAAAGAAATCTTCAAAGAGGTCCACGTATCCACTTACAGATTCTACAAAAAGACAGTTTCAAAACTGCTCCATCAAAAGGAGGGTTCAACTGTGTGACTTGAATGCAATCATCACTCAGAAGTTTCTGAGAATGCTTCTCTTTAGTTTTTACGTGAACATATACCCGTTTCGAACGAAGGCCACCCAGTGGTCCAAATATCCACTTGCAGATTATACAGAAAGAGTGTTTCGAACCTGAACTCTCAAAGGCAGGTTCATCTCTGCGAGTTAAATGCATTCATCATGAAGAACTTTCTCAGAGTGTTTGTGTTTAGTTATGGGAAATTATTCCCTTTTCCAACGAAATCCTCAGAGAGCTCCAAATATCCACCTGCAGATTCTACCAAAAGTGTATTTGGAAACTGCTCCATCAAAAGGCATGTTCAGCTCTGTGAGTGAAACTCCATCATCACAAAGAATATTCTGAGAATGCTTCCGTTCGCCTTTTATATGAAGTTCCTTCCTATACTACCGTAGGCCTCAAAGCAGTCCAAATCTCCATTTGCAGATTCTACAAAAAGAGTGATTCCAATCTGCTCTATCAATAGGATTGTTCAACTCCATGAGTTGAATGCCATCCTCACAAAGTAGTTTCTGAGAATGCTTCTATCTAGTTTTTATGTGAAGATATTTCCTTTTCCACCACAGGCCTCAAAGCCCTCCAAACGTCCACTTGCAGATTCTAGAAAAAGAGTGTTTCATAGCTGCTCTTTCAAAAGGAAAGTTCAACTCTGGGAGTTGAATACAAACATCACAAAGAATTTTCTGAGTTTGCTTCCGTTCAGTTATGGGAAGTTGATCCCGTTTCCAACGAAATCCTCAGAGAGGTCCAAATATCCCCTTGCAGATTCTACAAAACGTGTGTTTCGAAACTGCTCCATCATAACGAATGTTCAGCTCCCTGAGTTAAACTCCATCGTCACAAAGAATTTTCTGAGAGTGCTACCGTCTGGTTTTTATATGAAGCTCTTTCCTTTACTACCCCAGTCCTCAAAGCGGTCCAAATCTCCACTTGCAGATTCTACAAAAAGAGTGTTTGCAAACTGCTCTATCAAAAGGAATGTTCAACTCTGGGAGTTGAATGCAATCATCACAGAGCAGTTTCTCAGAATGCTTCTATGTCGTTTTTAGGAGAAGATATTTCCTTTTCCAACACAGTCCTCCAAGCCCGCTAAATAGCCACTTGCACATTGTAGAAAAAGTGTGTCAAAGCTGCGCTATCAAAGGGAAAGTTCAACTCTGAGAGGTGAATGCAAACATCCCAAAGAAGTTTCTGAGAGTGCTTCCGTTTAGCTTTTAGGTGAAGATTATCCCGTTTCCAACGAAACCTTCAAAGAGGTCCAAATATCCCCTTGCGGATCCCACAGAAAGAGTGTTTCGAAACTGCTGTTTCAAAAGGAATCTTCAACTCTGTGAGTTGAATGCAATCATCACAAAGAAGTTTCTGACAATGCTTCTCTCTCGTCTTTCTGTGAACATAAAGGAAAAGGCGTTCAGGCCTTTGCCACCACAGGCCTGAAAGCGCTCCAAATGTCCACTTGCAGATTCTGCCAAAAGAATATTTCAAAACTGCTCTATGAAAAGCAATGTTAAACTCTGTGGCTCGAACACAAACATCACAAAGCAGTTTCTGAGAATGCTTCAGTTTAGTTTTTCTGTGGAAATATTCCCGTTTCCAAAGAAATCTTCAAAGACGTCCACGTATCCACTTACAGATTCTACAAAAAGACAGTTTCAAAACTGCTCCATCAAAAGGAGGGTTCAACTGTGTGACTTGAATGCAATCATCACTCAGAAGTTTCTGAGAATGCTTCTCTTTAGTTTTTAGGTGAACATATACCCGTTTCGAACGAAGGCCACCCAGTGGTCCAAATATCCACTTGCAGATTATACAGAAAGAGTGTTTCGAACCTGAACTCTCAAAGGCAGGTTCATCTCTGTGAGTTAAATGCATTCATCATGAAGAACTTTCTCAGAGTGTTTGTGTTTAGTTATGGGAAATTATTCCCGTTTCCAACGAAATCCTCAGAGAGCTCCAAATATCCACCTGCAGATTCTACCAAAAGTGTATTTGGAAACTGCTCCATCAAAAGGCATGTTCAGCTCTGTGAGTGAAACTCCATCATCACAAAGAATATTCTGAGAATGCTTCCGTTTGCCTTTTATATGAAGTTCCTTCCTGTACTACCGTAGGCCTCAAAGCAGTCCAAATCTCCATTTGCAGATTCTATAAAAAGAGTGATTCCAATCTGCTCTATCAATAGGATTGTTCAACTCCATGAGTTGAATGCCATCCTCACAAAGTAGTTTCTGAGAATGCTTCTATCTGGTTTTTGTGTGAAGATATTTCCTTTTCCACCACAGGCCTCAAAGCCCTCCAAACGTCCACTTGCAGATTCTCGAAAAAGAGTGTTTCATAGCTGCTCTTTCCAAAGGAAAGTTCAACTCTGGGAGTTGAATACAAACATCACAAAGTAGTTTCCGAGAATGCTTCTGTTTAGTTTTTATGTGAAGATGATCCCGTTTCCAGTGAAATCTTCAAAGAGGTCCACATATCCCCTTGCAGATTCCAAAGAAAGAGGGTTTCAAAACTGCTCCATCAGAAGGATTGTTCAACTCTGTGAGTTGAATGCAGTCATCGCAGAAAACTTTCTGAGAAAGCTTCTGTCCAGGTTTGATGTGAAGATATAGACGTTTCAAACGAAGGCTACAAAGTGGTCAAAATATACACTTGCAGATTCTACTACAAGGGTGTTGCAAACCTGAACTATCAAAGGAAGGTTCAACTCTGTGAGTTGAATACAAACATCACAAAGAATGTTCTGAGTTTGCTTCCGTTCAGTTATGGGAAGTTGATCCCGTTTCCAAAGAAATCCTCAGAGAGGTCCAAATATCCCCTCGCAGATTCTACAAAACGTGTGTTTGGAAACTGCTCCATCATAACGAATGTTCAGCTCCCTGAGTTAAACTCCATCGTCACAAAGA
Source organism: Homo sapiens (assembly GCF_000001405.40). Taxonomy (NCBI): domain Eukaryota; kingdom Metazoa; phylum Chordata; class Mammalia; order Primates; family Hominidae; genus Homo; species Homo sapiens. The sequence continues at coordinate 60,286,718 of NC_000023.11, read as the reverse complement.
ATTTTCTGAGAGTGCTACCGTCTGGTTTTTATATGAAGTTCTTTCCTTCACTACCACAGGCCTCAAAGCGGTCCAAATCTCCACTTGCAGATTCTACAAAAAGAGTGTTTGCAAACTGCTCTATCAAAAGGAATGTTCAACTCTGGGAGTTGAATGCAATCATCACAGAGCAGTTTCTGAGAATGCTTCTATGTCGTTTTTAGGAGAAGATATTTCCTTTTCCAACACAGTCCTCCAAGCCCGCTAAATAGCCACTTGCACATTGTAGAAAAAGTGTGTCAAAGCTGCGCTATCAAAGGGAAAGTTCAACTCTGTGAGGTGAATGCAAACATCCCAAAGAAGTTTCTGAGAATGCTTCCGTTTAGCTTTTAGGTGAAGATTATCCCGTTTCCAACGAAACCTTCAAAGAGGTCCAAATATCCCCTTGCGGATCCCACAGAAAGAGTGTTTCGAAACTGCTGTTTCAAAAGGAATCTTCAACTCTGTGAGTTGAATGCAATCATCACAAAGAAGTTTCTGACAATGCTTCTCTCTCGTCTTTCTGTGAAGATAAAGGAAAAGGCTTTCAGGCCTTTTCCACCACAGGCCTGAAAGCGCTCCAAATGTCCACTTGCAGATTCTGCCAAAAGAATATTTCAAAACTGCTCTATGAAAAGCAATGTTAAACTCTGTCGCTCGAACACAAACATCACAAAGCAGTTTCTGAGAATGCTTCAGTTTAGTTTTTCTGTGGAAATATTCCCGTTTCCAAAGAAATCTTCAAAGGGGGTCCACGTATCCACTTACAGATTCTACAAAAAGACAGTTTCAAAACTGCTCCATCAAAAGGAGGGTTCAACTGTGTGACTTGAATGCAATCATCACTCAGAAGTTTCTGAGAATGCTTCTCTTTAGTTTTTACGTGAACATATACCCGTTTCGAACGAAGGCCACCCAGTGGTCCAAATATCCACTTGCAGATTCTACAGAAAGAGTGTTTCGAACCTGAACTCTCAAAGGCAGGTTCATCTCTGCGAGTTAAATGCATTCATCATGAAGAACTTTCTCAGAGTGTTTGTGCTTAGTTATGGGAAATTATTCCCGTTTCCAACGAAATCCTCAGAGTGGTCCAAATATCCACCTGCAGATTCTACCAAAAGTGTATTTGGAAACTGCTCCATCAAAAGGCATGTTCAGCTCTGTGAGTGAAACTCCATCATCACAAAGAATATTCTGAGAATGCTTCCGTTTGCCTTTTATCTGAAGTTCCTTCCTATACGACCGTAGGCCTCAAAGCAGTCCAAATCTCCATTTGCAGATTCTACAAAAAGAGTGATTCCAATCTGCTCTATCAATAGGATTGTTCAACTCCATGAGTTGAATGCCATCCTCACAAAGTCGTTTCTGAGAATGCTTCTATCTAGTTTTTATGTGAAGATATTTCCTTTTCCACCACAGGCCTCAAAGCCCTCCAAACGTCCACTTGCAGATTCTCGAAAAAGAGTGTTTTATAGCTGCTCTTTCAAAAGGAAAGTTCAACTCTGGGAGTTGAATACAAACATCACAAAGTAGTTTCCGAGAATGCTTCTGTTTAGTTTTTATGTGAAGATGATCCCGTTTCCAGTGAAATCTTCAAAGAGGTCCACATATCCCCTTGCAGATTCCAAAGAAAGAGGGTTTCAAAACTGCTCCATCAGAAGGATTGTTCAACTCTGTGAGTTGAATGCAGTCATCGCAGAAAACTTTCTGAGAATGCTTCTGTCTAGGTTTGGTGTGAAGATATAGATGTTTCAAACGAAGGCTACAAAGTGGTCAAAATATACACTTGCAGATTCTACTACAAGGGTGTTGCAAACCTGAACTATCAAAGGAAGGTTCAACTCTGTGAGTTGAATACAAACATCACAAAGAATGTTCTGAGTTTGCTTCCGTTCAGTTATGGGAAGTTGATCCCGTTTCCAACGAAATCCTCAGAGAGGTCCAAATATCCCCTTGCAGATTCTACAAAACGTGTGTTTGGAAACTGCTCCATCATAACGAATGTTCAGCTCCCTGAGTTAAACTCCATCGTCACAAAGAATTTTCTGAGAGTGCTACCGTCTGGTTTTTATATGAAGTTCTTTCCTTCACTACCACAGGCCTCAAAGCGGTCCAAATCTCCACTTGCAGATTCTACAAAAAGAGTGTTTGCAAACTGCTCTATCAAAAGGAATGTTCAACTCTGGGAGTTGAATGCAATCATCACAGAGCAGTTTCTGAGAATGCTTCTATGTCGTTTTTAGGAGAAGATATTTCCTTTTCCAACACAGTCCTCCAAGCCCGCTAAATAGCCACTTGCACATTGTAGAAAAAGTGTGTCAAAGCTGCGCTATCAAAGGGAAAGTTCAACTCTGTGAGGTGAATGCAAACATCCCAAAGAAGTTTCTGAGAATGCTTCCGTTTAGCTTTTAGGTGAAGATTATCCCGTTTCCAACGAAACCTTCAAAGAGGTCCAAATATCCCCTTGCGGATCCCACAGAAAGAGTGTTTCGAAACTGCTGTTTCAAAAGGAATCTTCAACTCTGTGAGTTGAATGCAATCATCACAAAGAAGTTTCTGACAATGCTTCTCTCTCGTCTTTCTGTGAAGATAAAGGAAAAGGCTTTCAGGCCTTTTCCACCACAGGCCTGAAAGCGCTCCAAATGTCCACTTGCAGATTCTGCCAAAAGAATATTTCAAAACTGCTCTATGAAAAGCAATGTTAAACTCTGTGGCTCGAACACAAACATCACAAAGCGGTTTCTGAGAATGCTTCAGTTTAGTTTTTCTGTGGAAATATTCCCGTTTCCAAAGAAATCTTCAAAGAGGTCCACGTATCCACTTACAGATTCTACAAAAAGACAGTTTCAAAACTGCTCCATCAAAAGGAGGGTTCAACTGTGTGACTTGAATGCAATCATCACTCAGAAGTTTCTGAGAATGCTTCTCTTTAGTTTTTACGTGAACATATACCCGTTTCGAACGAAGGCCAGCCAGTGGTCCAAATATCCACTTGCAGATTCTACAGAAAGAGTGTTTCGAACATGAACTCTCAAAGGCAGGTTCATCTCTGCGAGTTAAATGCATTCATCATGAAGAACTTTCTCAGAGTGTTTGTATTTAGTTATGGGAAATTATTCCCGTTTCCAACGAAATCCTCAGAGAGGTCCAAATATCCACCTGCAGATTCTACCAAAAGTGTATTTGGAAACTGCTCCATCAAAAGGCATGTTCAGCTCTGTGAGTGAAACTCCATCATCACAAAGAATATTCTGAGAATGCTTCCGTTTGCCTTTTATATGAAGTTCCTTCCTATACGACCGTAGGCCTCAAAGCAGTCCAAATCTCCATTTGCAGATTCTACAAAAAGAGTGATTCCAATCTGCTCTATCAATAGGATTGTTCAACTCCATGAGTTGAATGCCATCCTCACAAAGTCGTTTCTGAGAATGCTTCTATCTAGTTTTTATGTGAAGATATTTCCTTTTCCACCACAGGCCTCAAAGCCCTCCAAACGTCCACTTGCAGATTCTCGAAAAAGAGTGTTTCATAGCTGCTCTTTCAAAAGGAAAGTTCAACTCTGGGAGTTGAATACAAACATCACAAAGTAGTTTCCGAGAATGCTTCTGTTTAGTTTTTATGTGAAGATGATCCCGTTTCCAGTGAAATCTTCAAAGAGGTCCACATATCCCCTTGCAGATTCCAAAGAAAGAGGGTTTCAAAACTGCTCCATCAGAAGGATTGTTCAACTCTGTGAGTTGAATGCAGTCATCGCAGAAAACTTTCTGAGAATGCTTCTGTCTAGGTTTGATGTGAAGATATAGACGTTTCAAACGAAGGCTACAAAGTGGTCAAAATATACACTTGCAGATTCTACTACAAGGGTGTTGCAAACCTGAACTATCAAAGGAAGGTTCAACTCTGTGGGTTGAATACAAACATCGCAAAGAATGTTCTGAGTTTGCTTCCGTTCAGTTATGGGAAGTTGATCCCGTTTCCAACGAAATCCTCAGAGAGGTCCAAATATCCCCTTGCAGATTCTACAAAACGTGTGTTTGGAAACTGCTCCATCATAACGAATGTTCAGCTCCCTGAGTTAAACTCCATCGTCACAAAGAATTTTCTGAGAGTGCTACCGTCTGGTTTTTATATGAAGTTCTTTCCTTCACTACCACAGGCCTCAAAGCGGTCCAAATCTCCACTTGCAGATTCTACAAAAAGAGTGTTTGCAAACTGCTCTATCAAAAGGAATGTTCAACTCTGGGAGTTGAATGCAATCATCACAGAGCAGTTTCTGAGAATGCTTCTATGTCGTTTTTAGGAGAAGATATTTCCTTTTCCAACACAGTCCTCCAAGCCCGCTAAATAGCCACTTGCACATTGTAGAAACAGTGTGTCAAAGCTGCGCTATCAAAGGGAAAGTTCAACTCTGTGAGGTGAATGCAAACATCCCAAAGAAGTTTCTGAGAATGCTTCCGTTTAGCTTTTAGGTGAAGATTATCCCGTTTCCAACGAAACCTTCAAAGAGGTCCAAATATCCCCTTGCGGATCCCACAGAAAGAGTGTTTCGAAACTGCTGTTTCAAAAGGAATCTTCAACTCTGTGAGTTGAATGCAATCATCACAAAGAAGTTTCTGACAATGCTTCTCTCTCGTCTTTCTGTGAAGATAAAGGAAAAGGCTTTCAGGCCTTTTCCACCACAGGCCTGAAAGCGCTCCAAATGTCCACTTGCAGATTCTGCCAAAAGAATATTTCAAAACTGCTCTATGAAAAGCAATGTTAAACTCTGTGGCTCGAACACAAACATCACAAAGCGGTTTCTGAGAATGCTTCAGTTTAGTTTTTCTGTGGAAATATTCCCGTTTCCAAAGAAATCTTCAAAGAGGTCCACGTATCCACTTACAGATTCTACAAAAAGACAGTTTCAAAACTGCTCCATCAAAAGGAGGGTTCAACTGTGTGACTTGAATGCAATCATCACTCAGAAGTTTCTGAGAATGCTTCTCTTTAGTTTTTACGTGAACATATACCCGTTTCGAACGAAGGCCAGCCAGTGGTCCAAATATCCACTTGCAGATTCTACAGAAAGAGTGTTTCGAACCTGAACTCTCAAAGGCAGGTTCATCTCTGCGAGTTAAATGCATTCATCATGAAGAACTTTCTCAGCGTGTTTGTGTTTAGTTATGGGAAATTATTCCAGGTTCCAACGAAATCCTCAGAGAGCTCCAAATATCCACCTGCAGATTCTACCAAAAGTGTATTTGGAAACTGCTCCATCAAAAGGCATGTTCAGCTCTGTGAGTGAAACTCCATCATCACAAAGAATATTCTGAGAATGCTTCCGTTTGCCTTTTATATGAAGTTCCTTCCTATACGACCGTAGGCCTCAAAGCAGTCCAAATCTCCATTTTCAGATTCTACAAAAAGAGTGATTCCAATCTGCTCTATCAATAGGATTGTTCAACTCCATGAGTTGAATGCCATCCTCACAAAGTCGTTTCTGAGAATGCTTCTATCTAGTTTTTATGTGAAGATATTTCCTTTTCCACCACAGGCCTCAAAGCCCTCCAAACGTCCACTTGCAGATTCTCGAAAAAGAGTGTTTCATAGCTGCTCTTTCAAAAGGAAAGTTCAACTCTGGGAGTTGAATACAAACATCACAAAGTAGTTTCCGAGAATGCTTCTGTTTAGTTTTTATGTGAAGATGATCCCGTTTCCAGTGAAATCTTCAAAGAGGTCCACATATCCCCTTGCAGATTCCAAAGAAAGAGGGTTTCAAAACTGCTCCATCAGAAGGATTGTTCAACTCTGTGAGTTGAATGCAGTCATCGCAGAAAACTTTCTGAGAATGCTTCTGTCTAGGTTTGATGTGAAGATATAGACGTTTCAAACGAAGGCTACAAAGTGGTCAAAATATACACTTGCAGATTCTACTACAAGGGTGTTGCAAACCTGAACTATCAAAGGAAGGTTCAACTCTGTGAGTTGAATACAAACATCACAAAGAATGTTCTGAGTTTGCTTCCGTTCAGTTATGGGAAGTTGATCCCGTTTCCAACGAAATCCTCAGAGAGGTCCAAATATCCCCTCGCAGATTCTACAAAACGTGTGTTTGGAAACTGCTCCATCATAACGAATGTTCAGCTCCCTGAGTTAAACTCCATCGTCACAAAGAATTTTCTGAGAGTGCTACCGTCTGGTTTTTATATGAAGTTCTTTCCTTCACTACCACAGGCCTGAAAGCGGTCCAAATCTCCACTTGCAGATTCTACAAAAAGAGTGTTTGCAAACTGCTCTATCAAAAGGAATGTTCAACTCTGGGAGTTGAATGCAATCATCACAGAGCAGTTTCTGAGAATGCTTCTATGTCGTTTTTAGGAGAAGATATTTCCTTTTCCAACACAGTCCTCCAAGCCCGCTAAATAGCCACTTGCACATTGTAGAAAAAGTGTGTCAAAGCTGCGCTATCAAAGGGAAAGTTCAACTCTGTGAGGTGAATGCAAACATCCCAAAGAAGTTTCTGAGAATGCTTCCGTTTAGCTTTTAGGTGAAGATTATCCCGTTTCCAACGAAACCTTCAAAGAGGTCCAAATATCCCCTTGCGGATCCCACAGAAAGAGTGTTTCGAAACTGCTGTTTCAAAAGGAATCTTCAAGTCTGTGAGTTGAATGCAATCATCACAAAGAAGTTTCTGACAATGCTTCTCTCTCGTCTTTCTGTGAAGATAAAGGAAAAGGCTTTCAGGCCTTTTCCACCACAGGCCTGAAAGCGCTCCAAATGTCCACTTGCAGATTCTGCCAAAAGAATATTTCAAAACTGCTCTATGAGAAGCAATGTTAAACTCTGTGGCTGGAACACAAACATCACAAAGCGGTTTCTGAGAATGTTTCAGTTTAGTTTTTCTGTGGAAATATTCCCGTTTCCAAAGAAATCTTCAAAGAGGTCCACGTATCCACTTACAGATTCTACAAAAAGACAGTTTCAAAACTGCTCCATCAAAAGGAGGGTTCAACTGTGTGACTTGAATGCAATCATCACTCAGAAGTTTCTGAGAATGCTTCTCTTTAGTTTTTACGTGAACATATAACCTTTTCGAACCAAGGCCAGCCAGTGGTCCAAATATCCACTTGCAGATTCTACAGAAAGAATGTTTCGAACCTGAACTCTCAAAGGCAGGTTCATCTCTGCGAGTTAAATGCATTCATCATGAAGAACTTTCTCAGAGTGTTTGTGTTTAGTTATGGGAAATTATTCCCGTTTCCAACGAAATCCTCAGAGAGCTCCAAATATCCACCTGCAGATTCTACCAAAAGTGTATTTGGAAACTGCTCCATCAAAAGGCATGTTCAGCTCTGTGAGTGAAACTCCATCATCACAAAGAATATTCTGAGAATGCTTCCGTTTGCCTTTTATATGAAGTTCCTTCCTATACTACCGTAGGCCTCAAAGCAGTCCAAATCTCCATTTGCAGATTCTACAAAAAGAGTGATTCCAATCTGCTCTATCAATAGGATTGTTCAACTCCATGAGTTGAATGCCATCCTCACAAAGTAGTTTCTGAGAATGCTTCTATCTAGTCTTTATGTGAAGATATTTCCTTTTCCACCACAGGCCTCAAAGCCCTCCAAACGTCCACTTGCAGATTTTCGAAAAAGAGTGTTTCATAGCTGCTCTTTCAAAAGGAAAGTTCAACTCTGGGAGTTGAATACAAACATCACAAAGTAGTTTCCGAGAATGCTTCTGTTTAGTTTTTATGTGAAGATGATCCCGTTTCCAGTGAAATCTTCAAAGAGGTCCACATATCCCCTTGCAGATTCCAAAGAAAGAGGGTTTCAAAACTGCTCCATCAGAAGGATTGTTCAACTCTGTGAGTTGAATGCAGTCATCGCAGAAAACTTTCTGAGAATGCTTCTGTCTAGGTTTGATGTGAAGATATAGAGGTTTCAAACGAAGGCTACAAAGTGGTCAAAATATACACTTGCAGATTCTACTACAAGGGTGTTGCAAACCTGAACTATCAAAGGAAGGTTCAACTCTGTGAGTTGAATACAAACATCACAAAGAATGTTCTGAGTTTGCTTCCGTTCAGTTATGGGAAGTTGATCCCGTTTCCAACGAAATCCTCAGAGAGGTCCAAATATCCCCTTGCAGATTCTACAAAACGTGTGTTTGGAAACTGCTCCATCTTAACGAATGTTCAGCTCCCTGAGTTAAACTCCATCGTCACAAAGAATTTTCTGAGAGTGCTACCGTCTGGTTTTTATATGAAGTTCTTTCCTTCACTACCACAGGCCTCAAAGCGGTCCAAATCTCCACTTGCAGATTCTACAAAAAGAGTGTTTGCAAACTGCTCTATCAAAAGGAATGTTCAACTCTGGGAGTTGAATGCAATCATCACAGAGCAGTTTCTGAGAATGCTTCTATGTCGTTTTTAGGAGAAGATATTTCCTTTTCCAACACAGTCCTCCAAGCCCGCTAAATATCCACTTGCACATTGTAGAAAAAGTGTGTCGAAGCTGCGCTATCAAAGGGAAAGTTCAACTCTGTGAGGTGAATGCAAACATCCCAAAGAAGTTTCTGAGAATGCTTCCGTTTAGCTTTTAGGTGAAGATTATCCCGTTTCCAACGAAACCTTCAAAGAGGTCCAAATATCCCCTTGCGGATCCCACAGAAAGAGTGTTTCGAAACTGCTGTTTCAAAAGGAATCTTCAACTCTGTGAGTTGAATGCAATCATCACAAAGAAGTTTCTGACAATGCTTCTCTCTCGTCTTTCTGTGAAGATAAAGGAAAAGGCTTTCAGGCCTTTTCCACCACAGGCCTGAAAGCGCTCCAAATGTCCACTTGCAGATTCTGCCAAAAGAATATTTCAAAACTGCTCTATGAAAAGCAATGTTAAACTCTGTGGCTCGAACACAAACATCACAAAGCAGTTTCTGAGAATGCTTCAGTTTAGTTTTTCTGTGGAAATATTCCCGTTTCCAAAGAAATCTTCAAAGAGGTCCACGCATCCACTTACAGATTCTACAAAAAGACAGTTTCAAAACTGCTCAATCAAAAGGAGGGTTCAACTGTGTGACTTGAATGCATTCATCACTCAGAAGTTTCTGAGAACGCTTCTCTTTAGTTTTTACGTGAACATATACCCGTTTCGAACGAAGGCCAGCCAGTGGTCCAAATATCCACTTGCAGATTCTACAGAAAGAGTGTTTTGAACCTGAACTCTCAAAGGCAGGTTCATCTCTGCGAGTTAAATGCATTCATCATGAAGAACTTTCTCAGCGTGTTTGTGTTTAGTTATGGGAAATTATTCCCGTTTCCAACGAAATCCTCAGAGAGCTCCAAATATCCACCTGCAGATTGTACCAAAAGTGTATTTGGAAACTGCTCCATGAAAAGGCATGTTCAGCTCTGTGAGTGAAACTCCGTCATCACAAAGAATATTCTGAGAATGCTTCCGTTTGCCTTTTATATGAAGTTCCTTCCTATACTACCGTAGGCCTCAAAGCAGTCCAAATCTCCATTTGCAGATTCTACAAAAAGAGTGATTCCAATCTGCTCTATCAATAGGATTGTTCAACTCCATGAGTTGAATGCCATCCTCACAAAGTAGTTTCTGAGAATGCTTCTATGTAGTTTTTATGTGAAGATATTTCCTTTTCCACCACAGGCCTCAAAGCCCTCCAAACGTCCACTTGCAGATTCTCGAAAAAGAGTGTTTCATAGCTGCTCTTTCAAAAGGAAAGTTCAACTCTGGGAGTTGAATACAAACATCACAAAGTAGTTTCCGAGAATGCTTCTGTTTAGTTCTTATGTGAAGATGATCCCGTTTCCAGTGAAATCTTCAAAGAGGTCCACATATCCCCTTGCAGATTCCAAAGAAAGAGGGTTTCAAAACTGCTCCATCAAAAGGATTGTTCAACTCTGTGAGTTGAATGCAGTCATCGCAGAAAACTTTCTGAGAATGCTTCTGTCTAGGTTTGATGTGAAGATATAGACGTTTCAAACGAAGGCTACAAAGTGGTCAAAATATACACTTGCAGATTCTACTACAAGGGTGTTGCAAACCTCAACTATCAAAGGAAGGTTCAACTCTGTGAGATGAATGCAAACATCACAAAGAATGTTCTGAGTTTGCTTCCGTTCAGTTATGGGAAGTTGATCCCGTTTCCAACGAAATCCTCAGAGAGGTCCAAATATCCCCTTGCAGATTCTACAAAACGTGTGTTTGGAAACTGCTCCATCATAACGAATGTTCAGCTCTCTGAGTTAAACTCCATCGTCACAAAGAATTTTCTGAGGGTGCTACCTTCTAGTTTTTATATGAAGTTCTTTCCTTTACTACCACAGGCCTCAAAGCGGTCCAAATCTCCACTTGCAGATTCTACAAAAAGAGTGTTTGCAAATTGCTCTATCAAAAGGAATGTTCAACTCTGGGAGTTGAATGCAATCATCACAGAGCAGTTTCTGAGAATGCTTCTATGTCGTTTTTAGGAGAAGATATTTCCTTTTCCAACACAGTCCTCCAAGCCCGCTAAATATCCACTTACACATTGTAGAAAAAGTGTGTCGAAGCTGCGCTATCAAAGGGAAAGTTCAACTCTGTGAGGTGAATGCAAACATCCCAAAGAAGTTTCTGAGAATGCTTCCGTTTAGCTTTAAGTGAAGATTATCCCGTTTCCAACGAAATCTTCAAAGAGGTCCAAATATCCCCTTGCGGATCCCACAGAAAGAGTGTTTCGAAACTGCTGTTTCAAAAGGAATCTTCAACTCTGTGAGTTGAATGCAATCATCACAAAGAAGTTTCTGACAATGCTTCTCTCTCGTCTTTCTGTGAAGATAAAGGAAAAGGCTTTCAGGCCTTTTCCACCACAGGCCTGAAAGCGCTCCAAATGTCCACTTGCAGATTCTGCCAAAAGAATATTTCAAAACTGCTCTATGAAAAGCAATGTTAAACTCTGCGGCTCGAACACAAACATCACAAAGCAGTTTCTGAGAATGCTTCAGTTTAGTTTTTCTGTGGAAATATTCCCGTTTCCAAAGAAATCTTCAAAGAGGTCCACGCATCCACTTACAGATTCTACAAAAAGACAGTTTAAAAACTGCTCAATCAAAAGGAGGGTTCAACTGTGTGACTTGAATGCATTCATCACTCAGAAGTTTCTGAGAACGCTTCTCTTTAGTTTTTACGTGAACATATACCCGTTTCGAATGAAGGCCAGCCAGTGGTCCAAATATCCACTTGCAGATTCTACAGAAAGAGTGTTTTGAACCTGAACTCTCAAAGGCAGGTTCATCTCTGCGAGTTAAATGCATTCATCATGAAGAACTTTCTCAGCGTGTTTGTGTTTAGTTATGGGAAATTATTCCCGTTTCCAACGAAATCCTCAGAGAGCTCCAAATATCCACCTGCAGATTCTACCAAAAGTGTATTTGGAAACTGCTCCATGAAAAGGCATGTTCAGCTCTGTGAGTGAAACTCCGTCATCACAAAGAATATTCTGAGAATGCTTCCGTTTGCCTTTTATATGAAGTTCCTTCCTATACTACCGTAGGCCTCAAAGCAGTCCAAATCTCCATTTGCAGATTCTACAAAAAGAGTGATTCCAATCTGCTCTATCAATAGGATTGTTCAACTCCATGAGTTGAATGCCATCCTCACAAAGTAGTTTCTGAGAATGCTTCTATGTAGTTTTTATGTGAAGATATTTCCTTTTCCACCACAGGCCTCAAAGCCCTCCAAACGTCCACTTGCAGATTCTCGAAAAAGAGTGTTTCATAGCTGCTCTTTCAAAAGGAAAGTTCAACTCTGGGAGTTGAATACAAACATCACAAAGTAGTTTCCGAGAATGCTTCTGTTTAGTTCTTATGTGAAGATGATCCCGTTTCCAGTGAAATCTTCAAAGAGGTCCACATATCCCCTTGCAGATTCCAAAGAAAGAGGGTTTCAAAACTGCTCCATCAAAAGGATTGTTCAACTCTGTGAGTTGAATGCAGTCATCGCAGAAAACTTTCTGAGAATGCTTCTGTCTAGGTTTGATGTGAAGATATAGACGTTTCAAACGAAGGCTACAAAGTGGTCAAAATATACACTTGCAGATTCTACTACAAGGGTGTTGCAAACCTCAACTATCAAAGGAAGGTTCAACTCTGTGAGATGAATGCAAACATCACAAAGAATGTTCTGAGTTTGCTTCCGTTCAGTTATGGGAAGTTGATCCCGTTTCCAACGAAATCCTCAGAGAGGTCCAAATATCCCCTTGCAGATTCTACAAAACGTGTGTTTGGAAACTGCTCCATCATAACGAATGTTCAGCTCTCTGAGTTAAACTCCATCGTCACAAAGAATTTTCTGAGAGTGCTACCGTCTACTTTTTATATGAAGTTCTTTCCTTTACTACCACAGGCCTCAAAGCGGTCCAAATCTCCACTTGCAGATTCTACAAAAAGAGTGTTTGCAAATTGCTCTATCAAAAGGAATGTTCAACTCTGGGAGTTGAATGCAATCATCACAGAGCAGTTTCTGAGAATGCTTCTATGTCGTTTTTAGGAGAAGATATTTCCTTTTCCAACACAGTCCTCCAAGCCCGCTAAATATCCACTTGCACATTGTAGAAAAAGTGTGTCGAAGCTGCGCTATCAAAGGGAAAGTTCAACTCTGTGAGGTGAATGCAAACATCCCAAAGAAGTTTCTGAGAATGCTTCTCTCTCGTCTTTCTGTGAAGATAAAGGAAAAGGCTTTCAGGCCTTTTCCACCACAGGCCTGAAAGCGCTCCAAATGTCCACTTGCAGATTCTGCCAAAAGAATATTTCAAAACTGCTCTATGAAAAGCAATGTTAAACTCTGTGGCTCGAACACAAACATCACAAAGCGGTTTCTGAGAATGCTTCAGTTTAGTTTTTCTGTGGAAATATTCCCGTTTCCAAAGAAATCTTCAAAGAGGTCCACTTATCCACTTACAGATTCTACAAAAAGACAGTTTCAAAACTGCTCCATCAAAAGGAGGGTTCAACTGTGTGACTTGAATGCAATCATCACTCAGAAGTTTCTGAGAATGCTTCTCTTTAGTTTTTACGTGAACATATACCCGTTTCGAACGAAGGCCAGCCAGTGGTCCAAATATCCACTTGCAGATTCTACAGAAAGAGTGTTTCGAACCTGAACTCTCAAAGGCAGGTTCATCTCTGCGAGTTAAATGCATTCATCATGAAGAACTTTCTCAGAGTGTTTGTGTTTAGTTATGGGAAATTATTCCCGTTTCCAACGAAATCCTCAGAGAGCTCCAAATATCCACCTGCAGATTCTACCAAAAGTGTATTTGGAAACTGCTCCATCAAAAGGCATGTTCAGCTCTGTGAGTGAAACTCCATCATCACAAAGAATATTCTGAGAATGCTTCCGTTTGCCTTTTATATGAAGTTCCTTCCTATACGACCGTAGGCCTCAAAGCAGTCCAAATCTCCATTTGCAGATTCTACAAAAAGAGTGATTCCAATCTGCTCTATCAATAGGATTGTTCAACTCCATGAGTTGAATGCCATCCTCACAAAGTAGTTTCTGAGAATGCTTCTATCTAGTTTTTATGTGAAGATATTTCCTTTTCCACCACAGGCCTCAAAGCCCTCCAAACGTCCACTTGCAGATTCTCGAAAAAGAGTGTTTCATAGCTGCTCTTTCAAAAGGAAAGTTCAACTCTGGGAGTTGAATACAAACATCACAAAGTAGTTTCCCGAGAATGCTTCTGTTTAGTTCTTATGTGAAGATGATCCCGTTTCCAGTGAAATCTTCAAAGAGGTCCACATATCCCCTTGCAGATTCCAAAGAAAGAAGGTTTCAAAACTGCTCCATCAAAAGGATTGTTCAACTCTGTGAGTTGAATGCAGTCATCGCAGAAAACTTTCTGAGAATGCTTCTGTCTAGGTTTGAGGTGAAGATATAGACGTTTCAAACGAAGGCTACAAAGTGGTCAAAATATACACTTGCAGATTCTACTACAAGGGTGTTGCAAACCTGAACTATCAAAGGAAGGTTCAACTCTGTGAGTTGAATACAAACATCACAAAGAATGTTCTGAGTTTGCTTCCGTTCAGTTATGGGAAGTTGATCCCGTTTCCAACGAAATCCTCAGAGAGGTCCAAATATCCCCTTGCAGATTCTACAAAACGTGTGTTTGGAAACTGCTCCATCATAACGAATGTTCAGCTCTCTGAGTTAAACTCCATCGTCACAAAGAATTTTCTGAGAGTGCTACCGTCTGGTTTTTATATGAAGTTCTTTCCTTTACTACCACAGGCCTCAAAGCGGTCCAAATCTCCACTTGCAGATTCTACAAAAAGAGTGTTTGCAAACTGCTCTATCAAAAGGAATGTTCAACTCTGGGAGTTGAATGCAATCATCACAGAGCAGTTTCTGAGAATGCTTCTATGTCGTTTTTAGGAGAAGATATTTCCTTTTCCAACACAGTCCTCCAAGCCCGCTAAATAGCCACTTGCACATTGTAGAAAAAGTGTGTCGAAGCTGCGCTATCAAAGGGAAAGTTCAACTCTGTGAGGTGAATGCAAACATCCCAAAGAAGTTTCTGAGAATGCTTCCGTTTAGCTTTTAGGTGAAGATTATCCCGTTTCCAACGAAACCTTCAAAGAGGTCCAAATATCCCCTTGCGGATCCCACAGAAAGAGTGTTTCGAAACTGCTGTTTCAAAAGGAATCTTCAACTCTGTGAGTTGAATGCAATCATCACAAAGAAGTTTCTGACAATGCTTCTCTCTCGTCTTTCTGTGAAGATAAAGGAAAAGGCTTTCAGGCCTTTTCCACCACAGGCCTGAAAGCGCTCCAAATGTCCACTTGCAGATTCTGCCAAAAGAATATTTCAAAACTGCTCTATGAAAAGCAATGTTAAACTCTGTGGCTCGAACACAAACATCACAAAGCAGTTTCTGAGAATGCTTCAGTTTAGTTTTTCTGTGGAAATATTCCCGTTTCGAAAGAAATCTTAAAAGAGGTCCACGTATCCACTTACAGATTCTACAAAAAGACAGTTTCAAAACTGCTCAATCAAAAGGAGGGTTCAACCGTGTGACTTGAATGCAATCATCACTCAGAAGTTTCTGAGAATGCTTCTCTTTAGTTTTTACGTGAACATATACCCGTTTCGAACGAAGGCCACACAGTGGTCCAAATATCCACTTGCAGATTCTACAGAAAGAGTGTTTCGAACCTGAACTCTCAAAGGCAGGTTCATCTCTCCGAGTTCAATGCATTCATCATGAAGAACTTTCTCAGCGTGTTTGTGTTTAGTTATGGGAAATTATTCCCGTTTCCAAAGAAATCCTCAGAGAGCTCCAAATATCCACCTGCAGATTCTACCAAAAGTGTATTTGGAAACTGCTCCATGAAAAGGCATGTTCAGCTCTGTGAGTGAAACTCCATCATCACAAAGAATATTCTGAGAATGCTTCCGTTTGCCTTTTATATGAAATTCCTTCCTATACTACCGTAGGCCTCAAAGCAGTCCAAATCTCCATTTGCAGATTCTACAAAAAGAGTGATTCCAATCTGCTCTATCAATAGGATTGTTCAACTCCATGAGTTGAATGCCATCCTCACAAAGTAGTTTCTGAGAATGCTTCTATCTAGTTTTTATGTGAAGATATTTCCTTTTCCACCACAGGCTTCAAAGCCCTCCAAACGTCCACTTGCAGATTCTCGAAAAAGAGTGTTTCATAGCTGCTCTTTCAAAAGGAAAATTCAACTCTGGGAGTTGAATACAAACATCACAAAGTAGTTTCCGAGAATGCTTCTGTTTAGTTCTTATGTGAAGATGATCCCGTTTCCAGTGAAATCTTCAAAGAGGTCCACATATCCCCTTGCAGATTCCAAAGAAAGAGGGTTTCAAAACTGCTCCATCAAAAGGATTGTTCAACTCTGTGAGTTGAATGCAGTCATCGCAGAAAACTTTCTGAGAATGCTTCTGTCTAGGTTTGATGTGAAGATATAGACGTTTCAAACGAAGGCTACAAAGTGGTCAAAATATACACTTGCAGATTCTACTACAAGGGTGATGCAAACCTGAACTATCAGAGGAAGGTTCAACTCTGTGAGTTGAATACAAACATCACAAAGAATGTTCTGAGTTTGCTTCCGTTCAGTTATGGGAAGTTGATCCCGTTTCCAACGAAATCCTCAGAGAGGTCCAAATATCCCCTTGCAGATTCTACAAAACGTGTGTTTGGAAACTGCTCCATCATAACGAATGTTCAGCTCTCTGAGTTAAACTCCATCGTCACAAAGAATTTTCTGAGAGTGCTACCGTCTAGTTTTTATATGACGTTCTTTCCTTTACTACCACAGGCCTCAAAGCGGTCCAAATCTCCACTTGCAGATTCTACAAAAAGAGTGTTTGCAAACTGCTCTATCAAAAGGAATGTCCAACTCTGGGAGTTGAATGCAATCATCACAGAGCAGTTTCTGAGAATGCTTCTATGTCGTTTTTAGGAGAAGACATTTCCTTTTCCAACACAGTCCTCCAAGCCCGCTAAATATCCACTTGCACATTGTAGAAAAAGTGTGTCGAAGCTGCGCTATCAAAGGGAAAGTTCAACTCTGTGAGGTGAATGCAAACATCCCAAAGAAGTTTCTGAGAATGCTTCCGTTTAGCTTTTAGGTGAAGATTATCCCGTTTCCAACGAAATCTTCAAAGAGGTCCAAATATCCCCTTGCGGATCCCACAGAAAGAGTGTTTCGAAACTGCTGTTTCAAAAGGAATCTTCAACTCTGTGAGTTGAATGCAATCATCACAAAGAAGTTTCTGACAATGCTTCTCTCTCGTCTTTCTGTGAAGATAAAGGAAAAGGCTTTCAGGCCTTTTCCACCACAGGCCTGAAAGCGCTCCAAATGTCCACTTGCAGATTCTGCGAAAAGAATATTTCAAAACTGCTCTATGAAAAGCAATGTTAAACTCTGTGGCTCGAACACAAACATCAAAAAGCGGTTTCTGAGAATGCTTCAGTTTAGTTTTTCTGTGGAAATATTCCCGTTTCCAAAGAAATCTTCAAAGAGGTCCACGCATCCACTTACAGATTCTACAAAAAGACAGTTTCAAAACTGCTCAATCAAAAGGAGGGTTCAACTGTGTGACTAGAATGCAATCATCACTCAGAAGTTTCTGAGAACGCTTCTCTTTAGTTTTTACGTGAACATATACCCGTTTCGAACGAAGGCCAGCCAGTGGTCCAAATATCCACTTGCAGATTCTACAGAAAGAGTGTTTCGAACCTGAACTCTCAAAGGCAGGTTCATCTCTGCGAGTTAAATGCATTCATCATGAAGAACTTTCTCAGCGTGTTTGTGTTTAGTTATGGGAAATTATTCCCGTTTCCAACGAAATCCTCAGAGAGCTCCAAATATCCACCTGCAGATTCTACCAAAAGTGTATTTGGAAACTGCTCCATCAAAAGGCATGTTCAGCTCTGTGAGTGAAACTCCATCATCACAAAGAATATTCTGAGAATGCTTCCGTTTGCCTGTTATATGAAGTTCCTTCCTATACGACCGTAGGCCTCAAAGCAGTCCAAATCTCCATTTGCAGATTCTACAAAAAGAGTGATTCCAATCTGCTCTATCAATAGGATTGTTCAACTCCATGAGTTGAATGCCATCCTCACAAAGTCGTTTCTGAGAATGCTTCTATCTAGTTTTTATGTGAAGATATTTCCTTTTCCACCACAGGCCTCAAAGCCTTCCAAACGTCCACTTGCAGATTCTCGAAAAAGAGTGTTTCATAGCTGCTCTTTCAAAAGGAAAGTTCAACTCTGGGAGTTGAATACAAACATCACAAAGTAGTTTCCGAGAATGCTTCTGTTTAGTTTTTATTTGAAGATGATCCCGTTTCCAGTGAAATCTTCAAAGAGGTCCACATATCCCCTTGCAGATTCCAAAGAAAGAGGGTTTCAAAACTGCTCCATCAGAAGGATTGTTCAACTCTGTGAGTTGAATGCAGTCATCGCAGAAAACTTTCTGAGAATGCTTCTGTCTAGGTTTGATGTGACGATATAGACGTTTCAAACGAAGGCTACAAAGTGGTCAAAATATACACTTGCAGATTCTACTACAAGGGTGTTGCAAACCTGAACTATCAAAGGAAGGTTCAACTCTGTGAGTTGAATACAAACATCACAAAGAATGTTCTGAGTTTGCTTCCGTTCAGTTATGGGAAGTTGATCCCGTTTCCAACGAAATCCTCAGAGAGGTCCAAATATCCCCTTGCAGATTCTACAAAACGTGTGTTTGGAAACTGCTCCATCATAACGAATGTTCAGCTCCCTGAGTTAAACTCCATCATCACAAAGAATTTTCTGAGAGTGCTACCGTCTGGTTTTTATATGAAGTTCTTTCCTTCACTACCACAGGCCTCAAAGCGGTCCAAATCTCCACTTGCAGATTCTACAAAAAGAGTGTTTGCAAACTGCTCTATCAAAAGGAATGTTCAACTCTGGGAGTTGAATGCAATCATCACAGAGCAGTTTCTGAGAATGCTTCTATGTCGTTTTTAGGAGAAGATATTTCCTTTTCCAACACAGTCCTCCAAGCCCGCTAAATAGCCACTTGCACATTGTAGAAAAAGTGAGTCAAAGCTGCGCTATCAAAGGGAAAGTTCAACTCTGTGAGGTGAATGCAAACATCCCAAAGAAGTTTCTGAGAATGCTTCCGTTTAGCTTTTAGGTGAAGATTATCCCGTTTCCAACGAAACCTTCAAAGAGGTCCAAATATCCCCTTGCGGATCCCACAGAAAGAGTGTTTCGAAACTGCTGTTTCAAAAGGAATCTTCAACTCTGTGAGTTGAATGCAATCATCACAAAGAAGTTTCTGACAATGCTTCTCTCTCGTCTTTCTGTGAAGATAAAGGAAAAGGCTTTCAGGCCTTTTCCACCACAGGCCTGAAAGCGCTCCAAATGTCCACTTGCAGATTCTGCGAAAAGAATATTTCAAAACTGCTCTATGAAAAGCAATGTTAAACTCTGTGGCTCGAACACAAACATCACAAAGCGGTTTCTGAGAATGCTTCAGTTTAGTTTTTCTGTGGAAATATTCCCGTTTCGAAAGAAATCTTCAAAGAGGTCCACGTATCCACTTACAGATTCTACAAAAAGACAGTTTCAAACTGCTCCATCAAAAGGAGGGTTCAACCGTGTGACTTGAATGCAATCATCACTCAGAAATTTCTGAGAATGCTTCTCTTTAGTTTTTACGTGAACATATACCCGTTTCGAACGAAGGCCACCCAGTGGTCCAAATATCCACTTGCAGATTATACAGAAAGAGTGTTTCGAACCTGAACTCTCAAAGGCAGGTTCATCTCTGCGAGTTAAATGCATTCATCATGAAGAACTTTCTCAGAGTGTTTGTGTTTAGTTATGGGAAATTATTCCCCTTTCCAACGAAATCCTCAGAGAGCTCCAAATATCCACCTGCAGATTCTACCAAAAGTGTATTTGGAAACTGCTCCATCAAAAGGCATGTTCAGCTCTGTGAGTGAAACTCCATCATCACAAAGAATATTCTGAGAATGCTTCCGTTTGCCTTTTATATGAAGTTCCTTCCTGTACTACCGTAGGCCTCAAAGCAGTCCAAATCTCCATTTGCAGATTCTACAAAAAGAGTGATTCCAATCTGCTCTATCAATAGGATTGTTCAACTCCATGAGTTGAATGCCATCCTCACAAAGTAGTTTCTGAGAATGCTTCTATCTGGTTTTTGTGTGAAGATATTTCCTTTTCCACCACAGGCCTCAAAGCCCTCCAAACGTCCACTTGCAGATTCTCGAAAAAGAGTGTTTCATAGCTGCTCTTTCAAAAGGAAAGTTCAACTCTGGGAGTTGAATACAAACATCACAAAGTAGTTTCCGAGAATGCTTCTGTTTAGTTTTTATGTGAAGATGATCCCGTTTCCAGTGAAATCTTCAAAGAGGTCCACATATCCCCTTGCAGATTCCAAAGAAAGAGGGTTTCAAAACTGCTCCATCAGAAGGATTGTTCAACTCTGTGAGTTGAATGCAGTCATCGCAGAAAACTTTCTGAGAATGCTTCTGTCTAGGTTTGATGTGAAGATATAGACGTTTCAAACGAAGGCTACAAAGTGGTCAAAATATACACTTGCAGATTCTACTACAAGGGTGTTGCAAACCTGAACTATCAAAGGAAGGTTCAACTCTGTGAGTTGAATACAAACATCACAAAGAATGTTCTGAGTTTGCTTCCGTTCAGTTATGGGAAGTTGATCCCGTTTCCAACGAAATCCTCAGAGAGGTCCAAATATCCCCTTGCAGATTCTACAAAACGTGTGTTTGGAAACTGCTCCATCATAACGAATGTTCAGCTCCCTGAGTTAAACTACATCGTCACAAAGAATTTTCTGAGAGTGCTACCGTCTAGGTTTTTATATGAAGTTCTTTCCTTCACTACCACAGGCCTCAAAGCGGTCCAAATCTCCACTTGCAGATTCTACAAAAAGAGTGTTTGCAAACTGCTCTATCAAAAGGAATGTTCAACTCTGGGAGTTGAATGCAATCATCACAGAGCAGTTTCTGAGAATGCTTCTATGTCGTTTTTAGGAGAAGATATTTCCTTTTCCAACACAGTCCTCCAAGCCCGCCAAATATCCACTTGCACATTGTAGAAAAAGTGTGTCGAAGCTGCGCTATCAAAGGGAAAGTTCAACTCTGTGAGGTGAATGCAAACATCCCAAAGAAGTTTCTGAGAATGCTTCCGTTTAGCTTTTAGGTGAAGATTATCCCGTTTCCAACGAAATCTTCAAAGAGGTCCAAATATCCCCTTGCGGATCCCACAGAAAGAGTGTTTCGAAACTGCTGTTTCAAAAGGAATCTACAACTCTGTGGGTTGAATGCAATCATCACAAAGCAGTTTCTGACAATGCTTCTCTCTCGTCTTTCTGTGAAGATAAAGGAAAAGGCTTTCAGGCCTTTTCCACCACAGGCCTGAAAACGCTCTAAATGTCCACTTGCAGATTCTGCCAAAAGAATATTTCAAAACTGCTCTATGAAAAGCAATGTTAAACTCTGCGGCTCGAACACCAACATCACAAAGCAGTTTCTGAGAATGCTTCAGTTTAGTTTTTCTGTGGAAATATTCCCGTTTCCAAAGACATCTTCCAAGAGGTCCACGTATCCACTTACAGATTCTACAAAAAGACAGTTTCAAAACTGCTCAATCAAAAGGCGGGTTCAACTGTGTGACTTGAATGCAATCATCACTCAGAAGTTTCTGAGAATGCTTCTCTTTAGTTTTTACGTGAACATATACCCGTTTCGAACGAAGGCCAGCCAGTGGTCCAAATATCCACTTGCAGATTCTACAGAAAGAGTGTTTCGAACCTGAACTCTCAAAGGCAGGTTCATCTCTGCGAGTTAAATGCATTCATCATGAAGAACTTTCTCAGAGTGTTTGTGTTTAGTTATGGGAAATTATTCCCCTTTCCAACGAAATCCTCAGAGAGCTCCAAATATCCACCTGCAGATTCTACCAAAAGTGTATTTGGAAACTGCTCCATCAAAAGGCATGTTCAGCTCTGTCAGTGAAACTCCATCATCACAAAGAATATTCTGAGAATGCTTCCGTTTGCCTTTTATCTGAAGTTCCTTCCTATACGACCGTAGGCCTCAAAGCAGTCCAAATCTCCATTTGCAGATTCCACAAAAAGAGTGATTCCAATCTGCTCTATCAATAGGATTGTTCAACTCCATGAGTTGAATGCCATCCTCACAAAGTCGTTTCTGAGAATGCTTCTATCTAGTTTTTATGTGAAGATATTTCCTTTTCCACCACAGGCCTCAAAGCCCTCCAAACGTCCACTTGCAGATTCTCGAAAAAGAGTGTTTCATAGCTGCTCTTTCAAAAGGAAAGTTCAACTCTGGCAGTTGAATACAAACATCACAAAGTAGTTTCCGAGAATGCTTCTGTTTAGTTTTTATGTGAAGATGATCCCGTTTCCAGTGAAATCTTCAAAGAGGTCCACATATCCCCTTGCAGATTCCAAAGAAAGAGGGTTTCAAAACTGCTCCATCAGAAGGATTGTTCAACTCTGTGAGTTGAATGCAGTCATCGCAGAAAACTTTCTGAGAATGCTTCTGTCTAGGTTTGATGTGAAGATATAGACGTTTCAAATGAAGGCTACAAAGTGGTCAAAATATACACTTGCAGATTCTACTACAAGGGTGTTGCAAACCTGAACTATCAAAGGAAGGTTCAACTCTGTGAGTTGAATACAAACATCACAAAGAATGTTCTGAGTTTGCTTCCGTTCAGTTATGGGAAGTTGATCCCGTTTCCAACGAAATCCTCAGAGAGGTCCAAATATCCCCTCGCAGATTCTACAAAACGTGTGTTTGGAAACTGCTCCATCATAACGAATGTTCAGCTCCCTGAGTTAAACTCCATCGTCACAAAGAATTTTCTGAGAGTGCTACCGTCTGGTTTTTATATGAAGTTCTTTCCTTCACTACCACAGGCCTCAAAGCGGTCCAAATCTCCACTTGCAGATTCTACAAAAAGAGTGTTTGCAAACTGCTCTATCAAAAGGAATGTTCAACACTGGGAGTTGAATGCAATCATCACAGAGCAGTTTCTGAGAATGCTTCTATGTCGTTTTTAGGAGAAGATATTTCCTTTTCCAACACAGTCCTCCAAGCCCGCTAAATAGCCACTTGCACATTGTAGAAAAAGTGTGTCAAAGCTGCGCTATCAAAGGGAAAGTTCAACTCTGTGAGGTGAATGCAAACATCCCAAAGAAGTTTCTGAGAATGCTTCCGTTTAGCTTTTAGGTGAAGATTATCCCGTTTCCAACGAAACCTTCAAAGAGGTCCAAATATCCCCTTGCGGATCCCACAGAAAGAGTGTTTCGAAACTGCTGTTTCAAAAGGAATCTTCAACTCTGTGAGTTGAATGCAATCATCACAAAGAAGTTTCTGACAATGCTTCTCTCTCGTCTTTCTGTGAAGATAAAGGAAAAGGCTTTCAGGCCTTTGCCACCACAGGCCTGAAAGCGCTCCAAATGTCCACTTGCAGATTCTGCCAAAAGAATATTTCAAAACTGCTCTATGAAAAGCAATGTTAAACTCTGTGGCTCGAACACAAACATCACAAAGCAGTTTCTGAGAATGCTTCAGTTTAGTTTTTCTGTGGAAATATTCCCGTTTCCAAAGAAATCTTCAAAGAGGTCCACGTATCCACTTACAGATTCTACAAAAAGACAGTTTCAAAACTGCTCCATCAAAAGGAGGGTTCAACTGTGTGACTTGAATGCAATCATCACTCAGAAGTTTCTGAGAATGCTTCTCTTTAGTTTTTACGTGAACATATACCCGTTTCGAACGAAGGCCACCCAGTGGTCCAAATATCCACTTGCAGATTCTACAGAAAGAGTGTTTCGAACCTGAACTCTCAAAGGCAGGTTCATCTCTGCGAGTTAAATGCATTCATCATGAAGAACTTTCTCAGAGTGTTTGTGTTTAGTTATGGGAAATTATTCCCGTTTCCAACGAAATCCTCAAAGAGCTCCAAATATCCACCTGCAGATTCTACCAAAAGTGTATTTGGAAACTGCTCCATCAAAAGGCATGTTCAGCTCTGTGAGTGAAACTCCATCATCACAAAGAATATTCTGAGAATGCTTCCGTTTGCCTTTTATATGAAGTTCCTTCCTATACGACCGTAGGCCTCAAAGCAGTCCAAATCTCCATTTGCAGATTCTACAAAAAGAGTGATTCCAATCTGCTCTATTAATAGGATTGTTCAACTCCATGAGTTGAATGCCATCCTCACAAAGTAGTTTCTGAGAATGCTTCTATCTAGTTTTTATGTGAAGATATTTCCTTTTCCACCACAGGCCTCAAAGCCCTCCAAACGTCCACTTGCAGATTCTCGAAAAAGAGTGTTTCATAGCTGCTCTTTCAAAAGGAAAGTTCAACTCTGGCAGTTGAATACAAACATCACAAAGTAGTTTCCGAGAATGCTTCTGTTTAGTTTCTATGTGAAGATGATCCCGTTTCCAGTGAAATCTTCAAAGAGGTCCACATATCCCCTTGCAGATTCCAAAGAAAGTGGGTTTCAAAACTGCTCCATCAGAAGGATTGTTCAACTGTGTGAGTTGAATGCAGTCATCGCAGAAAACTTTCTGAGAATGCTTCTGTCTAGGTTTGATGTGAAGATATAGACGTTTCAAACGAAGGCTACAAAGTGGTCAAAATATACACTTGCAGATTCTACTACAAGGGTGTTGCAAACCTGAACTATCAAAGGAAGGTTCAACTCTGTGAGTTGAATACAAACATCACAAAGAATGTTCTGAGTTTGCTTCCGTTCAGTTATGGGAAGTTGATCCCGTTTCCAACGAAATCCTCAGAGAGGTCCAAATATCCCCTTGCAGATTCTACAAAACGTGTGTTTGGAAACTGCTCCATCATAACGAATGTTCAGCTCCCTGAGTTAAACTCCATCGTCACAAAGAATTTTCTGAGAGTGCTACCGTCTGGTTTTTATATGAAGTTCTTTCCTTCACTACCACAGGCCTCAAAGCAGTCCAAATCTCCACTTGCAGATTCTACAAAAAGAGAGTTTGCAAACTGCTCTATCAAAAGGAATGTTCAACTCTGGGAGTTGAATGCAATCATCACAGAGCAGTTTCTGAGAATGCTTCTATGTCGTTTTTAGGAGAAGATATTTCCTTTTCCAACACAGTCCTCCAAGCCCGCTAAATAGCCACTTGCACATTGTAGAAAAAGTGTGTCAAAGCTGCGCTATCAAAGGGAAAGTTCAACTCTGTGAGGTGAATGCAAACATCCCAAAGAAGTTTCTGAGAATGCTTCCGTTTAGCTTTTAGGTGAAGATTATCCCGTTTCCAACGAAACCTTCAAAGAGGTCCAAATATCCCCTTGCGGATCCCACAGAAAGAGTGTTTCGAAACTGCTGTTTCAAAAGGAATCTTCAACTCTGTGAGTTGAATGCAATCATCACAAAGAAGTTTCTGACAATGCTTCTCTCTCGTCTTTCTGTGAAGATAAAGGAAAAGGCTTTCAGGCCTTTTCCACCACAGGCCTGAAAGCGCTCCAAATGTCCACTTGCAGATTCTGCCAAAAGAATATTTCAAAAATGCTCTATGAAAAGCAATGTTAAACTCTGTGGCTGGAACACAAACATCACAAAGCGGTTTCTGAGAATGTTTCAGTTTACTTTTTCTGTGGAAATATTCCCGTTTCCAAAGAAATCTTCAAAGAGGTCCACGTATCCACTTACAGATTCTACAAAAAGACAGTTTCAAAACTGCTCCATCAAAAGGAGGGTTCAACTGTGTGACTTGAATGCAATCATCACTCAGAAGTTTCTGAGAATGCTTCTCTTTAGTTTTTACGTGAACATATACCCGTTTCGATCGAAGGCCACCCAGTGGTCCAAATATCCACTTGCAGATTATACAGAAAGAGTGTTTCGAACCTGAACTCTCAAAGGCAGGTTCATCTCTGCGAGTTAAATGCATTCATCATGAAGAACTTTCTCAGAGTGTTTGTGTTTAGTTATGGGAAATTATTCCCGTTTCCAACGAAATCCTCAGAGAGCTCCAAATATCCACCTGCAGATTCTACCAAAAGTGTATTTGGAAACTGCTCCATCAAAAGGCATGTTCAGCTCTGTGAGTGAAACTCCATCATCACAAAGAATATTCTGAGAATGCTTCCGTTTGCCTTTTATATGAAGTTCCTTCCTATACTACCGTAGGCCTCAAAGCAGTCCAAATCTCCATTTGCAGATTCTACAAAAAGAGTGATTCCAATCTGCTCTATCAATAGGATTGTTCAACTCCATGAGTTGAATGCCATCCTCACGAAGTAGTTTCTGAGAATGCTTCTATCTAGTTTTTATGTGAAGATATTTCCTTTTCCACCACAGGCCTCAAAGCCCTCCAAACGTCCACTTGCAGATTCTCGAAAAAGAGTGTTTCATAGCTGCTCTTTCAAAAGGAAAGTTCAACTCTGGGAGTTGAATACAAACATCACAAAGTAGTTTCCGAGAATGCTTCTGTTTAGTTTTTATGTGAAGATGATCCCGTTTCCAGTGAAATCTTCAAAGAGGTCCGCATATCCCCTTTCAGATTCCAACGAAAGAGGGTTTCAAAACTGCTCCATCAGAAGGATTGTTCAACTCTGTGAGTTGAATGCAGTCATCGCAGAAAACTTTCTGAGAATGCTTCTGTCTAGGTTTGATGTGAAGATATAGACGTTTCAAACGAAGGCTACAAAGTGGTCAAAATATACACTTGCAGATTCTACTACAAGGGTGTTGCAAACCTGAACTATCAAAGGAAGGTTCAACTCTGTGAGTTGAATACAAACATCACAAAGAATGTTCTGAGTTTGCTTCCGTTCAGTTATGGGAAGTTGATCCCGTTTCCAACGAAATCCTCAGAGAGGTCCAAATATCCCCTTGCAGATTCTACAAAACGTGTGTTTGGAAACTGCTCCATCATAACGAATGTTCAGCTCCCTGAGTTAAACTCCATCGTCACAAAGAATTTTCTGAGAGTGCTACCGTCTGGTTTTTATATGAAGTTCTTTCCTTCACTACCACAGGCCTCAAAGCGGTCCAAATCTCCACTTGCAGATTCTACAAAAAGAGTGTTTGCAAACTGCTCTATCAAAAGGAATGTTCAACTCTGGGAGTTGAATGCAATCATCACAGAGCAGTTTCTGAGAATGCTTCTATGTCGTTTTTAGGAGAAGATATTTCCTTTTCCAACACAGTCCTCCAAGCCCGCTAAATAGCCACTTGCACATTGTAGAAAAAGTGTGTCAAAGCTGCGCTATCAAAGGGAAAGTTCAACTCTGTGAGGTGAATGCAAACATCCCAAAGAAGTTTCTGAGAATGCTTCCGTTTAGCTTTTAGGTGAAGATTATCCCGTTTCCAACGAAACCTTCAAAGAGGTCCAAATATCCCCTTGCGGATCCCACAGAAAGAGTGTTTCGAAACTGCTGTTTCAAAAGAAATCTTCAACTCTGTGAGTTGAATGCAATCATCACAAAGAAGTTTCTGACAATGCTTCTCTCTCGTCTTTCTGTGAAGATAAAGGAAAAGGCTTTCAGGCCTTTGCCACCACAGGCCTGAAAGCGCTCCAAATGTCCACTTGCAGATTCTGCGAAAAGAATATTTCAAAACTGCTCTATGAAAAGCAATGTTAAACTCTGTGGCTCGAACACAAACATCACAAAGCAGTTTCTGAGAATGCTTCAGTTTAGTTTTTCTGTGGAAATATTCCCGTTTCCAAAGAAATCTTCAAAGAGGTCCACGTATCCACTTACAGATTCTACAAAAAGACAGTTTCAAAACTGCTCCATCAAAAGGAGGGTTCAACCGTGTGACTTGAATGCAATCATCACTCAGAAGTTTCTGAGAATGCTTCTCTTTAGTTTTTACGTGAACATATACCCGTTTCGAACGAAGGCCACCCAGTGGTCCAAATATCCACTTGCAGATTCTACAGAAAGAGTGTTTCGAACCTGAACTCTCAAAGGCAGGTTCATCTCTGCGAGTTAAATGCATTCATCATGAAGAACTTTCTCAGAGTGTTTGTGTTTAGTTATGGGAAATTATTCCCGTTTCCAACGAAATCCTCAGAGAGCTCCAAATATCCACCTGCAGATTCTACCAAAAGTGTATTTGGAAACTGCTCCATCAAAAGGCATGTTCAGCTCTGTGAGTGAAACTCCATCATCACAAAGAATATTCTGAGAATGCTTCCGTTTGCCTTTTATCTGAAGTTCCTTCCTATACGACCGTAGGCCTCAAAGCAGTCCAAATCTCCATTTGCAGATTCTACAAAAAGAGTGATTCCAATCTGCTCTATCAATAGGATTGTTCAACTCCATGAGTTGAATGCCATCCTCACAAAGTCGTTTCTGAGAATGCTTCTATCTAGTTTTTATGTGAAGATATTTCCTTTTCCACCACAGGCCTCAAAGCCCTCCAAACGTCCACTTGCAGATTCTCGAAAAAGAGTGTTTCATAGCTGCTCTTTCAAAAGGAACGTTCAACTCTGGGAGTTGAATACAAACATCACAAAGTAGTTTCCGAGAATGCTTCTGTTTAGTTTTTATGTGAAGATGATCCCGTTTCCAGTGAAATCTTCAAAGAGGTCCACATATCCCCTTGCAGATTCCAAAGAAAGAGGGTTTCAAAACTGCTCCATCAGAAGGATTGTTCAACTCTGTGAGTTGAATGCAGTCATCGCAGAAAACTTTCTGAGAATGCTTCTGTCTAGGTTTGATGTGAAGATATAGACGTTTCAAACGAAGGCTACAAAGTGGTCAAAATATACACTTGCAGATTCTACTACAAGGGTGTTGCAAACCTGAACTATCAAAGGAAGGTTCAACTCTGTGAGTTGAATACAAACATCACAAAGAATGTTCTGAGTTTGCTTCCGTTCAGTTATGGGAAGTTGATCCCGTTTCCAACGAAATCCTCAGAGAGGTCCAAATATCCCCTCGCAGATTCTACAAAACGTGTGTTTGGAAACTGCTCCATCATAAAGAATGTTCAGCTCCCTGAGTTAAACTCCATCGTCACAAAGAATTTTCTGAGAGTGCTACCGTCTGGTTTTTATATGAAGTTCTTTCCTTCACTACCACAGGCCTCAAAGCGGTCCAAATCTCCACTTGCAGATTCTACAAAAAGAGTGTTTGCAAACTGCTCTATCAAAAGGAATGTTCAACTCTGGGAGTTGAATGCAATCATCACAGAGCAGTTTCTGAGAATGCTTCTATGTCGTTTTTAGGAGAAGATATTTCCTTTTCCAACACAGTCCTCCAAGCCCGCTAAATAGCCACTTGCACATTGTAGAAAAAGTGTGTCAAAGCTGCGCTATCAAAGGGAAAGTTCAACTCTGTGAGGTGAATGCAAACATCCCAAAGAAGTTTCTGAGAATGCTTCCGTTTAGCTTTTAGGTGAAGATTATCCCGTTTCCAACGAAACCTTCAAAGAGGTCCAAATATCCCCTTGCGGATCCCACAGAAAGAGTGTTTCGAAACTGCTGTTTCAAAAGGAATCTTCAACTCTGTGAGTTGAATGCAATCATCACAAAGAAGTTTCTGACAATGCTTCTCTCTCGTCTTTCTGTGAAGATAAAGGAAAAGGCTTTCAGGCCTTTGCCACCACAGGCCTGAAAGCGCTCCAAATGTCCACTTGCAGATTCTGCCAAAAGAATATTTCAAAACTGCTCTATGAAAAGCAATGTTAAACTCTGTGGCTGGAACACAAACATCACAAAGCGGTTTCTGAGAATGTTTCAGTTTAGTTTTTCTGTGGAAATATTCCCGTTTCCAAAGAAATCTTCAAAGAGGTCCACGTATCCACTTACAGATTCTACAAAAAGACAGTTTCAAAACTGCTCCATCAAAAGGAGGGTTCAACTGTGTGACTTGAATGCAATCATCACTCAGAAGTTTCTGAGAATGCTTCTCTTTAGTTTTTACGTGAACATATACCCGTTTCGAACGAAGGCCACCCAGTGGTCCAAATATCCACTTGCAGATTCTACAGAAAGAGTGTTTCGAACCTGAACTCTCAAAGGCAGGTTCATCTCTGCGAGTTAAATGCATTCATCATGAAGAACTTTCTCAGAGTGTTTGTGTTTAGTTATGGGAAATTATTCCCGTTTCCAACGAAATCCTCAGAGAGCTCCAAATATCCACCTGCAGATTCTACCAAAAGTGTATTTGGAAACTGCTCCATCAAAAGGCATGTTCAGCTCTGTGAGTGAAACTCCATCATCACAAAGAATATTCTGAGAATGCTTCCGTTTGCCTTTTATATGAAGTTCCTTCCTATACTACCGTAGGCCTCAAAGCAGTCCAAATCTCCATTTGCAGATTCTACAAAAAGAGTGATTCCAATCTGCTCTATCAATAGGATTGTTCAACTCCATGTGTTGAATGCCATCCTCACAATGTCGTTTCTGAGAATGCTTCTATCTAGTTTTTATGTGAAGATATTTCCTTTTCCACCACAGGCCTCAAAGCCCTCCAAACGTCCACTTGCAGATTCTCGAAAAAGAGTGTTTCATAGCTGCTCTTTCAAAAGGAAAGTTCAACTCTGGGAGTTGAATACAAACATCACAAAGTAGTTTCCGAGAATGCTTCTGTTTAGTTTTTATGTGAAGATGATCCCGTTTCCAGTGAAATCTTCAAAGAGGTCCACATATCCCCTTGCAGATTCCAAAGAAAGAGGGTTTCAAAACTGCTCCATCAGAAGGATTGTTCAACTCTGTGAGTTGAATGCAGTCATCGCAGAAAACTTTCTGAGAATGCTTCTGTCTAGGTTTGATGTGAAGATATAGATGTTTCAAACGAAGGCTACAAAGTGGTCAAAATATACACTTGCAGATTCTACTACAAGGGTGTTGCAAACCTGAACTATCAAAGGAAGGTTCAACTCTGTGAGTTGAATACAAACATCACAAAGAATGTTCTGAGTTTGCTTCCGTTCAGTTATGGGAAGTTGATCCCGTTTCCAACGAAATCCTCAGAGAGGTCCAAATATCCCCTTGCAGATTCTACAAAACGTGTGTTTGGAAACTGCTCCATCATAACGAATGTTCAGCTCCCTGAGTTAAACTCCATCGTCACAAAGAATTTTCTGAGAGTGCTACCGTCTGGTTTTTATATGAAGTTCTTTCCTTCACTACCACAGGCCTCAAAGCGGTCCAAATCTCCACTTGCAGATTCTACAAAAAGAGTGTTTGCAAACTGCTCTATCAAAAGGAATGTTCAACTCTGGGAGTTGAATGCAATCATCACAGAGCAGTTTCTGAGAATGCTTCTATGTCGTTTTTAGGAGAAGATAATTCCTTTTCCAACACAGTCCTCCAAGCCCGCTAAATAGCTACTTGCACATTGTAGAAAAAGTGTGTCAAAGCTGCGCTATCAAAGGGAAAGTTCAACTCTGTGAGGTGAATGCAAACATCCCAAAGAAGTTTCTGAGAATGCTTCCGTTTAGCTTTTAGGTGAAGATTATACCGTTTCCAACGAAACCTTCAAAGAGGTCCAAATATCCCCTTGCGGATCCCACAGAAAGAGTGTTTCAAAACTGCTGTTTCAAAAGGAATCTTCAACTCTGTGAGTTGAATGCAATCATCACAAAGAAGTTTCTGACAATGCTTCTCTCTCGTCTTTCTGTGAAGATAAAGGAAAAGGCTTTCAGGCCTTTGCCACCACAGGCCTGAAAGCGCTCCAAATGTCCACTTGCAGATTCTGCGAAAAGAATATTTCAAAACTGCTCTATGAAAAGCAATGTTAAACTCTGTGGCTGGAACACAAACATCACAAAGCGGTTTCTGAGAATGCTTCAGTTTAGTTTTTCTGTGGAAATATTCCCGTTTCCAAAGAAATCTTCAAAGAGGTCCACGTATCCACTTACAGATTCTACAAAAAGACAGTTTCAAAACTGCTCCATCAAAAGGAGGGTTCAACCGTGTGACTTGAATGCAATCATCACTCAGAAGTTTCTGAGAATGCTTCTCTTTAGTTTTTACGTGAACATATACCCGTTTCGAACGAAGGCCAGCCAGTGGTCCAAATATCCACTTGCAGATTCTACAGAAAGAGTGTTTCGAACGTGAACTCTCAAAGGCAGGTTCATCTCTGCGAGTTGAATGCATTCATCATGAAGAACTTTCTCAGAGTGTTTGTGTTTAGTTATGGGAAATTATTCCCGTTTCCAACGAAATCCTCAGAGAGCTCCAAATATCCACCTGCAGATTCTACCAAAAGTGTATTTGGAAACTGCTCCATCAAAAGGCATGTTCAGCTCTGTCAGTGAAACTCCATCATCACAAAGAATATTCTGAGAATGCTTCCGTTTGCCTTTTATATGAAGTTCCTTCCTATACTACCGTAGGCCTCAAAGCAGTCCAAATCTCCGTTTGCAGATTCTACAAAAAGAGTGATTCCAATCTGCTCTATCAATAGGATTGTTCAACTCCATGAGTTGAATGCCATCCTCACAAAGTAGTTTCTGAGAATGCTTCTATCTAGTTTTTATGTGAAGATATTTCCTTTTCCACCACAGGCCTCAAAGCCTTCCAAACGTCCACTTGCAGATTCTCGAAAAAGAGTGTTTCATAGCTGCTCTTTCAAAAGGAAAGTTCAACTCTGGGAGTTGAATACAAACATCACAAAGTAGTTTCCGAGAATGCTTCTGTTTAGTTTTTATGTGAAGATGATCCCGTTTCCAGTGAAATCTTCAAAGAGGTCCACATATCCCCTTGCAGATTCCAAAGAAAGAGGGTTTCAAAACTGCTCCATCAGAAGGATTGTTCAACTCTGTGAGTTGAATGCAGTCATCGCAGAAAACTTTCTGAGAATGCTTCTTTCTAGGTTTGATGTGAAGATATAGACGTTTCAAACGAAGGCTACAAAGTGGTCAAAATATACACTTGCAGATTCTACTACAAGGGTGTTGCAAACCTGAACTATCAAAGGAAGGTTCAACTCTGTGAGTTGAATACAAACATCACAAAGAATGTTCTGAGTTTGCTTCCGTTCAGTTATGGGAAGTTGATCCCGTTTCCAACGAAATCCTCAGAGAGGTCCAAATATCCCCTTGCAGATTCTACAAAACGTGTGTTTGGAAACTGCTCCATCATAACGAATGTTCAGCTCCCTGAGTTAAACTCCATCGTCACAAAGAATTTTCTCAGAGTGCTACCGTCTGGTTTTTATATGAAGTTCTTTCCTTCACTACCACAGACCTCAAAGCGGTCCAAATCTCCACTTGCAGATTCTACAAAAAGAGTGATTCCAATCTGCTCTATCAATAGGATTGTTCAACTCCATGAGTTGAATGCCATCCTCACAAAGTAGTTTCTGAGAATGCTTCTATCTGGTTTTTGTGTGAAGATATTTCCTTTTCCACCACAGGCCTCAAAGCCCTCCAAACGTCCACTTGCAGATTCTCGAAAAAGAGTGTTTCATAGCTGCTCTTTCAAAAGGAAAGTTCAACTCTGGGAGTTGAATACAAACATCACAAAATAGTTTCCGAGAATGCTTCTGTTTAGTTTTTATGTGAAGATGATCCCGTTTCCAGTGAAATCTTCAAAGAGGTCCACATATCCCCTTGCAGATTCCAAAGAAAGAGGGTTTCAAAACTGCTCCATCAAAAGGATTGTTCAACTCTGTGAGTTGAATGCAGTCATCGCAGAAAACTTTCTGAGAATGCTTCTGTCTAGGTTTGATGTGAAGATATAGACGTTTCAAACGAAGGCTACAAAGAGGTCAAAATATACACTTGCAGATTCTACTACAAGGGTGTTGCAAACCTGAACTATCAAAGGAAGGTTCAACTCTGTGAGTTGAATACAAACATCACAAAGAATGTTCTGAGTTTGCTTCCGTTCAGTTATGGGAAGTTGATCCCGTTTCCAACGAAATCCTCAGAGAGGTCCAAATATCCCCTTGCAGATTCTACAAAACGTGTGTTTGGAAACTGCTCCATCATAACGAATGTTCAGCTCCCTGAGTTAAACTCCATCGTCACAAAGAATTTTCTGAGAGTGCTACCGTCTGGTTTTTATATGAAGTTCTTTCCTTCACTACCACAGGCCTCAAAGCGGTCCAAATCTCCACTTGCAGATTCTACAAAAAGAGTGTTTGCAAACTGCTCTATCAAAAGGAATGTTCAACTCTGGGAGTTGAATGCAATCATCACAGAGCAGTTTCTGAGAATGCTTCTATGTCGTTTTTAGGAGAAGATATTTCCTTTTCCAACACAGTCCTCTAAGCCCGCTAAATAGCCACTTGCACATTGTAGAAAAAGTGTGTCAAAGCTGCGCTATCAAAGGGAAAGTTCAACTCTGTGAGGTGAATGCAAACATCCCAAAGAAGTTTCTGAGAATGCTTCCGTTTAGCTTTTAGGTGAAGATTATCCCGTTTCCAACGAAACCTTCAAAGAGGTCCAAATATCCCCTTGCGGATCCCACAGAAAGAGTGTTTCGAAACTGCTGTTTCAAAAGGAATCTTCAACTCTGTGAGTTGAATGCAATCATCACAAAGAAGTTTCTGACAATGCTTCTCTCTCGTCTTTCTGTGAAGATAAAGGAAAAGGCTTTCAGGCCTTTTCCACCACAGGCCTGAAAGCGCTCCAAATGTCCACTTGCAGATTCTGCTAAAAGAATATTTCAAAACTGCTCTATGAAAAGCAATGTTAAACTCTGTGGCTCGAACACAAACATCACAAAGCAGTTTCTGAGAATGCTTCAGTTTAGTTTTTCTGTGGAAATATTCCCGTTTCCAAAGAAATCTTCAAAGAGGTCCACGTATCCACTTACAGATTCTACAAAAAGACAGTTTCAAAACTGCTCCATCAAAAGGAGGGTTCAACTGTGTGACTTGAATGCAATCATCACTCAGAAGTTTCTGAGAATGCTTCTCTTTAGTTTTTACGTGAACATATACCCGTTTCGAACGAAGGCCACCCAGTGGTCCAAATATCCACTTGCAGATTCTACAGAAAGAGTGTTTCGAACCTGAACTCTCAAAGGCAGGTTCATCTCTGCGAGTTAAATGCATTCATCATGAAGAACTTTCTCAGAGTGTTTGTGTTTAGTTATGGGAAATTATTCCCGTTTCCAACGAAATCCTCAGAGAGCTCCAAATATCCACCTGCAGATTCTACCAAAAGTGTATTTGGAAACTGCTCCATCAACAGGCATGTTCAGCTCTGTGAGTGAAACTCCATCATCACAAAGAATATTCTGAGAATGCTTCCGTTTGCCTTTTATATGAAGTTCCTTCCTATACGACCGTAGGCCTCAAAGCAGTGCAAATCTCCATTTGCAGATTCTACAAAAAGAGTGATTCCAATCTGCTCTATCAATAGGATTGTTCAACTCCATGAGTTGAATGCCATCCTCACAAAGTCGTTTCTGAGAATGCTTCTATCTAGTTTTTATGTGAAGATATTTCCTTTTCCACCACAGGCCTCAAAGCCCTCCAAACGTCCACTTGCAGATTCTCGAAAAAGAGTGTTTCATAGCTGCTCTTTCAAAAGGAAAGTTCAACTCTGGGAGTTGAATACAAACATCACAAAGTAGTTTCCGAGAATGCTTCTGTTTAGTTTTTATGTGAAGATGATCCCGTTTCCAGTGAAATCTTCAAAGAGGTCCACATATCCCCTTGCAGATTCCAAAGAAAGAGGGTTTCAAAACTGCTCCATCAATAGGATTGTTCAACTCTGTGAGTTGAATGCAGTCATCGCAGAAAACTTTCTGAGAATGCTTCTGTCTAGGTTTGATGTGAAGATATAGACGTTTCAAACGAAGGCTACAAAGTGGTCAAAATATACACTTGCAGATTCTACTACAAGGGTGTTGCAAACCTGAACTATCAAAGGAAGGTTCAACTCTGTGAGTTGAATACAAACATCACAAAGAATGTTCTGAGTTTGCTTCCGTTCAGTTATGGGAAGTTGATCCCGTTTCCAACGAAATCCTCAGAGAGGTCCAAATATCCCCTTGCAGATTCTACAAAACGTGTTTTTGGAAACTGCTCCATCATAACGAATGTTCAGCTCCCTGAGTTAAACTCCATCGTCACAAAGAATTTTCTGAGAGTGCTACCGTCTGGTTTTTATATGAAGCTCTTTCCTTCACTACCACAGGCCTCAAAGCGGTCCAAATCTCCACTTGCAGATTCTACAAAAAGAGTGTTTGCAAACTGCTCTATCAAAAGGAATGTTCAACTCTGGGAGTTGAATGCAATCATCACAGAGCAGTTTCTGAGAATGCTTCTATGTCGTTTTTAGGAGAAGATATTTCCTTTTCCAACACAGTCCTCCAAGTCCGCTAAATAGCCACTTGCACATTGTAGAAAAAGTGTGTCAAAGCTGCGCTATCAAAGGGAAAGTTCAACTCTGAGAGGTGAATGCAAACATCCCTAAGAAGTTTCTGAGAGTGCTTCCGTTTAGCTTTTTGGTGAAGATTATCCCGTTTCCAACGAAATCTTCAAAGAGGTCCAAATATCCCCCTGCGGATCCCACAGAAAGAGTGTTCCGAAACTGCTGTTTCAAAAGGAATCTTCAATTCTGTGAGTTGAATGCAATCATCACAAAGAAGTTTCTGACAATGCTTCTCTCTCATCTTTCTGTGAAGATAAAGGAAAAGGCTTTCAGGCCTTTTCCACCACAGGCCTGAAAGCGCTCCAAATGTCCACTTGCAGATTCTGCCAAAAGAATATTTCAAAACTGCTCTATGAAAAGCAATGTTAAACTCTGTGGCTCGAACACAAACATCACAAAGCAGTTTCTGAGAATGCTTCAGTTTAGTTTTTCTGTGGAAATATTCCCGTTTCCAAAGAAATCTTCAAAGAGGTCCACGTATCCACTTACAGATTCTACAAAAAGACAGTTTCAAAACTGCTCAATCAAAAGGAGGGTTCAACTGTGTGACTTGAATGCAATCATCACTCAGAAGTTTCTGAGAACGCTTCTCTTTAGTTTTTACGTGAACATATACCCGTTTCGAACGAAGGCCAGCCAGTGGTCCAAATATCCACTTGCAGATTCTACAGAAAGAGTGTTTCGAACCTGAACACTCAAAGGCAGGTTCATCTCTGCGAGTTAAATGCATTCATCATGAAGAACTTTCTCAGCGTGTTTGTGTTTAGTTATGGGAAATTATTCCCTTTTCCAACGAAATCCTCAGAGAGCTCCAAATATCCACCTGCAGATTCTACCAAAAGTGTATTTGGAAACTGCTCCATCAAAAGGCATGTTCAGCTCTGTGAGTGAAACTCCATCATCACAAAGAATATTCTGAGAATGCTTCCGTTTGCCTTTTATATGAAGTTCCTTCCTATATTACCGTAGGCCTCAAAGCAGTCCAAATCTCCATTTGCAGATTCTACAAAAAGAGTGACTCCAATCTGCTCTATCAATAGGATTGTTCAACTCCATGAGTTGAATGCCATCCTCACAAAGTCGTTTCTGAGAATGCTTCTATCTAGTTTTTATGTGAAGATATTTCCTTTTCCACCACAGGCCTCAAAGCCCTCCAAACGTCCACTTGCAGATTCTCGAAAAAGAGGGTTTCATAGCTGCTCTTTCAAAAGGAAAGTTCAACTCTGGGAGTTGAATACAAACATCACAAAGTAGTTTCCGAGAATGCTTCTGTTTAGTTCTTATGTGAAGATGATCCCGTTTCCAGTGAAATCTTCAAAGAGGTCCACATATTCCCTTGCAGATTCCAAAGAAAGAGGGTTTCAAAACTGCTCCATCAAAAGGATTGTTCAACTCTGTGAGTTGAATGCAGTCATCGCAGAAAACTTTCTGAGAATGCTTCTGTCTAGGTTTGATGTGAAGATATAGACGTTTCAAACGAAGGCTACAAAGTGGTCAAAATATACACTTGCAGATTCTACTACAAGGGTGATGCAAACCTGAACTATCAAAGGAAGGTTCAACTCTGTGAGTTGAATACAAACATCACAAAGAATGTTCTGAGTTTGCATCCGTTCAGTTATGGGCAGTTGATCCCGTTTCCAACGAAATCCTCAGAGAGGTCCAAATATCCCCTTGCAGATTCTACAAAACGTGTGTTTGGAAACTGCTCCATCATAACGAATGTTCAGCTCTCTGAGTTAAACTGCATCGTCACAAAGAATTTTCTGAGAGTGCTACCGTTTAGTTTTTATATGAAGTTCTTTCCTTTACTACCACCGGCCTCAAAGCGGTCCAAATCTCCACTTGCAGATTCTACAAAAAGAGTGTTTGCAAACTGCTCTATCAAAAGGAATGTTCAACTCTGGGAGTTGAATGCAATCATCACAGAGCAGTTTCTGAGAATGCTTCTATGTCGTTTTTAGGAGAAGATATTTCCTTTTCCAACACAGTCCTCCAAGCCGGCTAAATATCCACTTGCACATTGTAGAAAAAGTGTGTCGAAGCTGCGCTATCAAAGGGAAAGTTCAACTCTGTGAGGTGAATGCAAACATCCCAAAGAAGTTTCTGAGAATGCTTCCGTTTAGCTTTTAGGTGAAGATTATCCCGTTTCCAACGAAACCTTCAAAGAGGTCCAAATATCCCCTTGCGGATCCCACAGAAAGAGTGTTTCGAAACTGCTGTTTCAAAAGGAATCTTCAACTCTGTGAGTTGAATGCAATCATCAAAAAGAAGTTTCTGACAATGCTTCTCTCTCGTCTTTCTGTGAAGATAAAGGAAAAGGCTTTCAGGCCTTTTCCACCACAGGCCTGAAAGCGCTCCAAATGTCCACTTGCAGATTCTGCCAAAAGAATATTTCAAAACTGCTCTATGAAAAGCAATGTTAAACTCTGTGGCTCGAACACAAACATCACAAAGCGGTTTCTGAGAATGCTTCAGTTTAGTTTTTCTGTGGAAATATTCCCGTTTCCAAAGAAATCTTCAAAGAGGTCCACGTATCCACTTACAGATTCTACAAAAAGACAGTTTCAAAACTGCTCCATCAAAAGGAGGGTTCAACTGTGTGACTTGAATGCAATCATCACTCAGAAGTTTCTGAGAATGCTTCTCTTTAGTTTTTACGTGAACATATACCCGTTTCGAACGAACCCAGCCAGTGGTCCAAATATCCACTTGCAGATTCTACAGAAAGAGTGTTTCGAACCTGAACTCTCAAAGGCAGGTTCATCTCTGCGAGTTAAATGCATTCATCATGAAGAACTTTCTCAGAGTGTTTGTGTTTAGTTATGGGAAATTATTCCCGTTTCCAACGAAATCCTCAGAGAGCTCCAAATATCCACCTGCAGATTCTACCAAAAGTGTATTTGGAAACTGCTCCATCAAAAGGCATGTTCAGCTCTGTGAGTGAAACTCCATCATCACAAAGAATATTCTGAGAATGCTTCCGTTTGCCTTTTATATGAAGTTCCTTCCTATACGACCGTAGGCCTCAAAGCAGTCCAAATCTCCATTTGCAGATTCTACAAAAAGAGTGATTCCAATCTGCTCTATCAATAGGATTGTTCAACTCCATGAGTTGAATGCCATCCTCACAAAGTCGTTTCTGAGAATGCTTCTATCTAGTTTTTATGTGAAGATATTTCCTTTTCCACCACAGGCCTCAAAGCCTTCCAAACGTCCACTTGCAGATTCTCGAAAAAGAGTGTTTCATAGCTGCTCTTTCAAAAGGAAAGTTCAACTCTGGGAGTTGAATACAAACATCACAAAGTAGTTTCCGAGAATGCTTCTGTTTAGTTTTTATGTGAAGATGATCCCGTTTCCAGTGAAATCTTCAAAGAGGTCCACATATCCCCTTGCAGATTCCAAAGAAAGAGGGTTTCAAAACTGCTCCATCAGAAGGATTGTTCAACTCTGTGAGTTGAATGCAGTCATCGCAGAAAACTTTCTGAGAATGCTTCTGTCTAGGTTTGATGTGAAGATATAGACGTTTCAAACGAAGGCTACAAAGTGGTCAAAATATACACTTGCAGATTCTACTACAAGGGTGTTGCAAACCTGAACTATCAAAGGAAGGTTCAACTCTGTGAGTTGAATACAAACATCAAAAAGAATGTTCTGAGTTTGCTTCCGTTCAGTTATGGGAAGTTGATCCCGTTTCCAACGAAATCCTCAGAGAGGTCCAAATATCCCCTTGCAGATTCTACAAAACGTGTGTTTGGAAACTGCTCCATCATAACGAATGTTCAGCTCCCTGAGTTAAACTCCATCGTCACAAAGAATTTTCTGAGAGTGCTACCGTCTGGTTTTTATATGAAGCTCTTTCCTTCACTACCACAGGCCTCAAAGCGGTCCAAATCTCCACTTGCAGATTCTACAAAAAGAGTGTTTGCAAACTGCTCTATCAAAAGGAATGTTCAACTCTGGGAGTTGAATGCAATCATCACAGAGCAGTTTCTGAGAATGCTTCTATGT
Source organism: Homo sapiens (assembly GCF_000001405.40). Classification (NCBI taxonomy): domain Eukaryota; kingdom Metazoa; phylum Chordata; class Mammalia; order Primates; family Hominidae; genus Homo; species Homo sapiens. The sequence goes on along the minus strand of NC_000023.11, from coordinate 60,246,761 downwards.
CGTTTTTAGGAGAAGATATTTCCTTTTCCAACACAGTCCTCCAAGCCCGCTAAATAGTCACTTGCACATTGTAGAAAAAGTGTGTCAAAGCTGCGCTATCAAAGGGAAAGTTCAACTCTGTGAGGTGAATGCAAACATCCCAAAGAAGTTTCTGAGAGTGCTTCCGTTTAGCTTTTAGGTGAAGATTATCCCGTTTCCAACGAAACCTTCAAAGAGGTCCAAATATCCCCTTGCGGATCCCACAGAAAGAGTGTTTCGAAACTGCTGTTTCAAAAGGAATCTTCAACTCTGTGAGTTGAATGCAATCATCGCAAAGAAGTTTCTGACAATGCTTCTCTCTCGTCTTTCTGTGAAGGTAAAGGAAAAGGCTTTCAGGACTTTTCCACCACAGGCCTGAAAGCGCTCCAAATGTCCACTTGCAGATTCTGCCAAAAGAATATTTCAAAACTGCTCTATGAAACGCAATGTTAAACTCTGTGGCTCGAACACAAACATCACAAGGCGGTTTCTGAGAATGATTCAGTTTAGTTTTTCTGTGGAAATATTCCCGTTTCCAAAGAAATCTTCAAAGAGGTCCACGTATCCACTTACAGATTCTACAAAAAGACAGTTTCAAAACTGCTCCATCAAAAGGAGGGTTCAACTGTGTGACTTGAATGCAATCATCACTCAGAAGTTTCTGAGAATGCTTCTCTTTAGTTTTTACGTGAACATATACCCGTTTCGAACGAAGGCCAGCCAGTGGTCCAAATATCCACTTGCAGATTCTACAGAAAGAGTGTTTCGAACCTGAACTCTCAAAGGCAGGTTCATCTCTGCGAGTTAAATGCATTCATCATGAAGAACTTTCTCAGAGTGTTTGTGTTTAGTTATGGGAAATTATTCCCGTTTCCAACGAAATCCTCAGAGAGCTCCAAATATCCACCTGCAGATTCTACCAAAAGTGTATTTGGAAACTGCTCCATCAAAAGGCATGTTCAGCTCTGTGAGTGAAACTCCATCATCACAAAGAATATTCTGAGAATGCTTCCGTTTGCCTTTTATATGAAGTTCCTTCCTATACGACCGTAGGCCTCAAAGCAGTCCAAATCTCCATTTGCAGATTCTACAAAAAGAGTGATTCCAATCTGCTCTATCAATAGGATTGTTCAACTCCATGAGTTGAATGCCATCCTCACAAAGTCGTTTCTGAGAATGCTTCTATCTGGTTTTTGTGTGAAGATATTTCCTTTTCCACCACAGGCCTCAAAGCCCTCCAAACGTCCACTTGCAGATTCTCGAAAAAGAGTGTTTCATAGCTGCTCTTTCAAAAGGAAAGTTCAACTCTGGGAGTTGAATACAAACATCACAAAATAGCTTCCGAGATTGCTTCTGTTTAGTTTTTATGTGAAGATGATCCCGTTTCCAGTGAAATCTTCAAAGAGGTCCACATATCCCCTTGCAGATTCCAAAGAAAGAGGGTTTCAAAACTGCTCCATCAAAAGGATTGTTCAACTCTGTGAGTTGAATGCAGTCATCGCAGAAAACTTTCTGAGAATGCTTCTTTCTAGGTTTGATGTGAAGATATAGACGTTTCAAACGAAGGCTACAAAGTGGTCAAAATATACACTTGCAGATTCTACTACAAGGGTGTTGCAAACCTGAACTATCAAAGGAAGGTTCAACTCTGTGAGTTGAATACAAACATCACAAAGAATGTTCTGAGTTTGCTTCCGTTCAGTTATGGGAAGTTGATCCCGTTTCCAACGAAATCCTCAGAGAGGTCCAAATATCCCCTTGCAGATTCTACAAAACGTGTGTTTGGAAACTGCTCCATCATAACGAATGTTCAGCTCCCTGAGTTAAACTCCATCGTCACAAAGAATTTTCTGAGAGTGCTACCGTCTGGTTTTTATATGAAGTTCTTTCCTTCACTACCACTGGCCTCAAAGCGGTCCAAATCTCCACTTGCAGATTCTACAAAAAGAGTGTTTGCAAACTGCTCTATCAAAAGGAATGTTCAACTCTGGGAGTTGAATGCAATCATCACAGAGCAGTTTCTGAGAATGCTTCTATGTCGTTTTTAGGAGAAGATATTTCCTTTTCCAACACAGTCCTCCAAGTCCGCTAAATAGCCACTTGCACATTGTAGAAAAAGTGTGTCAAAGCTGCGCTATCAAAGGGAAAGTTCAACTCTGAGAGGTGAATGCAAACATCCCAAAGAAGTTTCTGAGAGTGCTTCCGTTTAGCTTTTAGGTGAAGATTATCCCGTTTCCAACGAAACCTTCAAAGAAGTCCAAATATCCCCTTGCGGATCCCACAGAAAGAGTGTTTCGAAACTGCTGTTTCAAAAGGAATCTTCAACTCTGTGAGTTGAATGCAATCATCACAAAGAAGTTTCTGACAATGCTTCTCTCTCGTCTTTCTGTGAAGATAAATAAATGCTTTCAGGCCTTTGCCACCACAGGCCTGAAAGCGCTCCAAATGTCCACTTGCAGATTCTGCCAAAAGAATATTTCAAAACTGCTTTGTGAAAAGCAATGTTAAACTCTGTGGCTCGAACACAAACATCACAAAGCGGTTTCTGAGAATGCTTCAGTTTAGTTTTTCTGTGGAAATATTCCCGTTTCCAAAGAAATCTTCAAAGAGGTCCACGTATCCACTTACAGATTCTACAAAAAGACAGTTTCAAAACTGCTCCATCAAAAGGAGGGTTCAACTGTGTGACTTGAATGCAATCATCACTCAGAAGTTTCTGAGAATGCTTCTCTTTAGTTTTTACGTGAACATATACCCGTTTCGAACGAAGGCCACCCAGTGGTCCAAATATCCACTTGCAGATTCTACAGAAAGAGTGTTTCGAACCTGAACTCTCAAAGGCAGGTTCATCTCTGCGAGTTAAATGCATTCATCATGAAGAACTTTCTCAGAGTGTTTGTGTTTAGTTATGGGAAATTATTCCCGTTCCCAACGAAATCCTCAGAGAGGTCCAAATGTCCACCTGCAGATTCTACCAAAAGTGTATTTGGAAACTGCTCCATCAACAGGCATGTTCAGCTCTGTGAGTGAAACTCCATCATCACAAAGAATATTCTGAGAATGCTTCCGTTTGCCTTTTATATGAAGTTCCTTCCTATACGACCGTAGGCCTCAAAGCAGTGCAAATCTCCATTTGCAGATTCTACAAAAAGAGTGATTCCAATCTGCTCTATCAATAGGATTGTTCAACTCCATGAGTTGAATGCCATCCTCACAAAGTCGTTTCTGAGAATGCTTCTATCTAGTTTTTATGTGAAGATATTTCCTTTTCCACCACAGGCCTCAAAGCCCTCCAAACGTCCACTTGTAGATTCTCGAAAAAGAGTGTTTCATAGCTGCTCTTTCAAAAGGAAAGTTCAACTCTGGGAGTTGAATACAAACATCACAAAGTAGTTTCCGAGAATGCTTCTGTTTAGTTTTTATGTGAAGATGATCCCGTTTCCAGTGAAATCTTCAAAGAGGTCCACATATCCCCTTGCAGATTCCAAAGAAAGAGGGTTTCAAAACTGCTCCATCAAAAGGATTGTTCAACTCTGTGAGTTGAATGCAGTCATCGCAGAAAACTTTCTGAGAATGCTTCTGTCTAGGTTTGATGTGAAGATATAGACGTTTCAAACGAAGGCTACAAAGTGGTCAAAATATACACTTGCAGATACTACTACAAGGGTGTTGCAAACCTGAACTATCAAAGGAAGGTTCAACTCTGTGAGTTGAATACAAACATCACAAAGAATGTTCTGAGTTTGCTTCCGTTCAGTTATGGGAAGTTGATCCCGTTTCCAACGAAATCCTCAGAGAGGTCCAAATATCCCCTTGCAGATTCTACAAAACGTGTGTTTGGAAACTGCTCCATCATAACGAATGTTCAGCTCCCTGAGTTAAACTCCATCGTCACAAAGAATTTTCTGAGAGTGCTACCGTCTGGTTTTTATATGAAGTTCTTTCCTTCACTACCACAGGCCTCAAAGCGGTCCAAATCTCCACTTGCAGATTCTACAAAAAGAGTGTTTGCAAACTGCTCTATCAAAAGGAATGTTCAACTCTGGGAGTTGAATGCAATCATCACAGAGCAGTTTCTGAGAATGCTTCTATGTCGTTTTTAGGAGAAGATATTTCCTTTTCCAACACAGTCCTCCAAGCCCGCTAAATAGCCACTTGCACATTGTAGAAAAAGTGTGTCAAAGCTGCGCTATCAAAGGGAAAGTTCAACTCTGTGAGGTGAATGCAAACATCCCAAAGAAGTTTCTGAGAATGCTTCCGTTTAGCTTTTAGGTGAAGATTATCCCGTTTCCAACGAAACCTTCAAAGAGGTCCAAATATCCCCTTGCGGATCCCACAGAAAGAGTGTTTCGAAACTGCTGTTTCAAAAGGAATCTTCAACTCTGTGAGTTGAATGCAATCATCACAAAGAAGTTTCTGACAATGCTTCTCTCTCGTCTTTCTGTGAAGATAAAGGAAAAGGCTTTCAGGCCTTTGCCACCACAGGCCTGAAAGCGCTCCAAGTGTCCACTTGCAGATTCTGCGAAAAGAATATTTCAAAACTGCTCTATGAAAAGCAATGTTAAACTCTGTGGCTCGAACACAAACATCACAAAGAGGTTTCTGAGAATGCTTCAGTTTAGTTTTTCTGTGGAAATATTCCCGTTTCCAAAGAAATCTTCAAAGAGGTCCACGTATCCACTTACAGATTCTACAAAAAGACAGTTTCAAAACTGCTCCATCAAAAGGAGGGTTCAACTGTGTGACTTGAATGCAATCATCACTCAGAAGTTTCTGAGAATGCTTCTCTTTAGTTTTTACGTGAACATATACCCGTTTCGAACGAAGGCCACCCAGTGGTCCAAATATCCACTTGCAGATTCTACAGAAAGAGTGTTTCGAACCTGAACTCTCAAAGGCAGGTTCATCTCTGCGAGTTAAATGCATTCATCATGAAGAACTTTCTCAGAGTGTTTGTGTTTAGTTATGGGAAATTATTCCCGTTTCCAACGAAATCCTCAGAGAGGTCCAAATATCCACCTTCAGATTCTACCAAAAGTGTATTTGGAAACTGCTCCATCAAAAGGCATGTTCAGCTCTGTGAGTGAAACTCCATCATCACAAAGAATATTCTGAGAATGCTTCCGTTTGCCTTTTATATGAAGTTCCTTCCTATACTACCGTAGGCCTCAAAGCAGTCCAAATCTCCATTTGCAGATTCTACAAAAAGAGTGATTCCAATCTGCTCTATCAATAGGATTGTTCAACTCCATGAGTCGAATGCCATCCTCATAAAGTAGTTTCTGAGAATGCTTCTATCTAGTTTTTATGTGAAGATATTTCCTTTTCCACCACAGGCCTCAAAGCCCTCCAAACGTCCACTTGCAGATTCTCGAAAAAGAGTGTTTCATAGCTGCTCTTTCAAAAGGAAAGTTCAACTCTGGGAGGTGAATACAAACATCACAAAGTAGTTTCCGAGAATGCTTCTGTTTAGTTCTTATGTGAAGATGATCCCGTTTCCAGTGAAATCTTCAAAGAGGTCCACATATCCCCTTGCAGATTCCAAAGAAAGAGGGTTTCAAAACTGCTCCATCAAAAGGATTGTTCAACTCTGTGAGTTGAATGCAGTCATCGCAGAAAACTTTCTGAGAATGCTTCTGTCTGGGTTTGATGTGAAGATATAGACGTTTCAAACGAAGGCTACAAAGTGGTCAAAATATAAACTTGCAGATTCTACTACAAGGGTGTTGCAAACCTGAACTATCAAAGGAAGGTTCAACTCTGTGAGTTGAATACAAACATCACAAAGAATGTTCTGAGTTTGCTTCCGTTCAGTTATGGGAAGTTGATCCCGTTTCCAACGAAATCCTCAGAGAGGTCCAAATATCCCCTTGCAGATTCTACAAAACGTGTGTTTGGAAACTGCTCCATCATAACGAATATTCAGCTCTCTGAGTTAAACTCCATCGTCACAAAGAATTTTCTGAGAGTGCTACCGTCTAGTTTTTATATGAAGTTCTTTCCTTTACTACCACAGGCCTCAAAGCGGTCCAAATCTCCACTTGCAGATTCTACAAAAAGAGTGTTTGCAAACTGCTCTATCAAAAGGAATGTTCAACTCTGGGAGTTGAATGCAATCATCACAGAGCAGTTTCTGAGAATGCTTCTATGTCGTTTTTAGGAGAAGATATTTCCTTTTCCAACACAGTCCTCCAAGCCCGCTAAATATCCACTTGCACATTGTAGAAAACGTGTGTCGACGCTGCGCTATCAAAGGGAAAGTTCAACTCTGTGAGGTGAATGCAAACATCCCAAAGAAGTTTCTGACAATGCTTCCGTTTAGCTTTTAGGTGAAGATTATCCTGTTTCCAACGAAATCTTCAAAGAGGTCCAAATATCCCCTTGCAGATCCCACAGAAAGAGTGTTTCGAAACTGCTGTTTCAAAAGGAATCTTCAACTCTGTGAGTTGAATGCAATCTTCACAAAGAAGTTTCTGACAATGCTTCTCTCTCGTCTTTCTGTGAAGATAAAGGAAAAGGCTTTCAGGCCTTTTCCACCACAGGCCTGAAAGCGCTCCAAATGTCCACTTGCAGATTCTGCCAAAAGAATATTTCAAAACTGCTCTATGAAAAGCAATGTTAAACTCTGTGGCTCGAACACAAACATCACAAAGCAGTTTCTGAGAATGCTTCAGTTTAGTTTTTCTGTGGAAATATTCCCGTTTCCAAAGAAATCTTCAAAGAGGTCCACGCATCCACTTACAGATTCTACAAAAAGACAGTTTCAAAACTGCTCAATCAAAAGGAGGGTTCAACTGTGTGACTTGAATGCAATCATCACTCAGAAGTTTCTGAGAACGCTTCTCTTTAGTTTTTACGTGAACATATACCCGTTTCGAACGAAGGCCACCCAGTGGTCCAAATATCCACTTGCAGATTCTACAGAAAGAGTGTTTCGAACCTGAACTCTCAAAGGCAGGTTCATCTCTGCGAGTTAAATGCATTCATCATGAAGAACTTTCTCAGCGTGTTTGTGTTTAGTTATGGGAAATTATTCCCGTTTCCAACGAAATCCTCAGAGAGGTCCAAATATCCACCTGCAGATTCTACCAAAAGTGTATTTGGAAACTGCTCCATCAAAAGGCATGTTCAGCTCTGTGAGTGAAACTCCATCATCACAAAGGAGATATTCTGAGAATGCTTCCGTTTGCCTTTTATATGAAGTTCCTTCCTATACGACCGTAGGCCTCAAAGCAGTCCAAATCTCCATTTGCAGATTCTACAAAAAGAGTGATTCCAATCTGCTCTATCAATAGGATTGTTCAACTCCATGAGTTGAATGCCATCCTCACAAAGTAGTTTCTGAGAATGCTTCTATCTAGTTTTTATGTGAAGATATTTCCTTTTCCACCACAGGCCTCAAAGCCCTCCAAACGTCCACTTGCAGATTCTCGAAAAAGAGTGTTTCATAGCTGCTCTTTCAAAAGGAAAGTTCAACTCTGGGAGTTGAATACAAACATCACAAAGTAGTTTCCGAGAATGCTTCTGTTTAGTTTTTATGTGAAGATGATCCCGTTTCCAGTGAAATCTTCAAAGAGGTCCACATATCCCCTTGCAGATTCCAAAGAAAGAGGGTTTCAAAACTGCTCCATCAGAAGGATTGTTCAACTCTGTGAGTTGAATGCAGTCATCGCAGAAAACTTTCTGAGAAGGCTTCTGTCTAGGTTTGATGTGAAGATATAGACGTTTCAAACGAAGGCTACAAAGTGGTCAAAATATACACTTGCAGATTCTACTACAAGGGTGTTGCAAACCTGAACTATCAAAGGAAGGTTCAACTCTGTGAGTTGAATACAAACATCACAAGGAATGTTCTGAGTTTGCTTCCGTTCAGTTATGGGAAGTTGATCCCGTTTCCAACGAAATCCTCAGAGAGGTCCAAATATCCCCTTGCAGATTCTACAAAACGTGTGTTTGGAAACTGCTCCATCATAACGAATGTTCAGCTCCCTGAGTTAAACTCCATCGTCACAAAGAATTTTCTGAGAGTGCTACCGTCTGGTTTTTATATGAAGCTCTTTCCTTCACTACCACAGGCCTCAAAGCGGTCCAAATCTCCACTTCCAGATTCTACAAAAAGAGTGTTTGCAAACTGCTCTATCAAAAGGAATGTTCAACTCTGGGAGTTGAATGCAATCATCACAGAGCAGTTTCTGAGAATGCTTCTATGTCGTTTTTAGGAGAAGATATTTCCTTTTCCAACACAGTCCTCCAAGCCCGCTAAATAGCCACTTGCACATTGTAGAAAACGTGTGTCAAAGCTGCGCTATCAAAGGGAAAGTTCAACTCTGTGAGGTGAATGCAAACATCCCAAAGAAGTTTCTGAGAATGCTTCCGTTTAGCTTTTAGGTGAAGATTATCCCGTTTCCAACGAAACCTTCAAAGAGGTCCAAATATCCCCTTGCGGATCCCACAGAAAGAGTGTTTCGAAACTGCTGTTTCAAAAGGAATCTTCAACTCTGTGAGTTGAATGCAATCATCACAAAGAAGTTTCTGACAATGCTTCTCTCTCGTCTTTCTGTGAAGATAAAGGAAAAGGCTTTCAGGCCTTTTCCACCACAGGCCTGAAAGCGCTCCAAATGTCCACTTGCAGATTCTGCCAAAAGAATATTTCAAAACTGCTCTATGAAAAGCAATGTTAAACTCTGTGGCTCGAACACAAACATCACAAAGCGGTTTCTGAGAATGCTTCAGTTTAGTTTTTCTGTGGAAATATTCCCGTTTCCAAAGAAATCTTCAAAGAGGTCCACGTATCCACTTACAGATTCTACAAAAAGACAGTTTCAAAACTGCTCCATCAAAAGGAGGGTTCAACTGTGTGACTTGAATGCAATCATCACTCAGAAGTTTCTGAGAATGCTTCTCTTTAGTTTTTACGTGAACATATACCCGTTTCGAACGAAGGCCAGCCAGTGGTCCAAATATCCACTTGCAGATTCTACAGAAAGAGTGTTTCGAACCTGAACTCTCAAAGGCAGGTTCATCTCTGCGAGTTAAATGCATTCATCATGAAGAACTTTCTCAGAGTGTTTGTGTTTAGTTATGGGAAATTATTCCCGTTTCCAACGAAATCCTCAGAGAGCTCCAAATATCCACCTGCAGATTCTACCAAAAGTGTATTTGGAAACTGCTCCATCAAAAGGCATATTCAGCTCTGTGAGTGAAACTCCATCATCACAAAGAATATTCTGAGAATGCTTCCGTTTGCCTTTTATATGAAGTTCCTTCCTATACGACCGTAGGCCTCAAAGCAGTCCAAATCTCCATTTGCAGATTCTACAAAAAGAGTGATTCCAATCTGCTCTATCAATAGGATTGTTCAACTCCATGAGTTGAATGCCATCCTCACAAAGTCGTTTCTGAGAATGCTTCTATCTAGTTTTTATGTGAAGATATTTCCTTTTCCACCACAGGCCTCAAAGCCCTCCAAACGTCCACTTGCAGATTCTCGAAAAAGAGTGTTTTATAGCTGCTCTTTCAAAAGGAAAGTTCAACTCTGGGAGTTGAATACAAACATCACAAAGTAGTTTCCGAGAATGCTTCTGTTTAGTTTTTATGTGAAGATGATCCCGTTTCCAGTGAAATCTTCAAAGAGGTCCACATATCCCCTTGCAGATTCCAAAGAAAGAGGGTTTCAAAACTGCTCCATCAGAAGGATTGTTCAACTCTGTGAGTTGAATGCAGTCATCGCAGAAAACTTTCTGAGAATGCTTCTGTCTAGGTTTGATGTGAAGATATAGATGTTTCAAACGAAGGCTACAAAGTGGTCAAAATATACACTTGCAGATTCTACTACAAGGGTGTTGCAAACCTGAACTATCAAAGGAAGGTTCAACTCTGTGAGTTGAATACAAACATCACAAAGAATGTTCTGAGTTTGCTTCCGTTCAGTTATGGGAAGTTGATCCCGTTTCCAACGAAATCCTCAGAGAGGTCCAAATATCCCCTTGCAGATTCTACAAAACGTGTGTTTGGAAACTGCTCCATCGTAACGAATGTTCAGCTCCCTGAGTTAAACTCCATCGTCACAAAGAATTTTCTGAGAGTGCTACCGTCTGGTTTTTATATGAAGTTCTTTCCTTCACTACCACAGGCCTCAAAGCGGTCCAAATCTCCACTTGCAGATTCTACAAAAAGAGTGTTTGCAAACTGCTCTATCAAAAGGAATGTTCAACTCTGGGAGTTGAATGCAATCATCACAGAGCAGTTTCTGAGAATGCTTCTATGTCGTTTTTAGGAGAAGATATTTCCTTTTCCAACACAGTCCTCCAAGCCCGCTAAATAGCCACTTGCACATTGTAGAAAAAGTGTGTCAAAGCTGCGCTATCAAAGGGAAAGTTCAACTCTGTGAGGTGAATGCAAACATCCCAAAGAAGTTTCTGAGAATGCTTCCGTTTAGCTTTTAGGTGAAGATTATCCCGTTTCCAACGAAACCTTCAAAGAGGTCCAAATATCCCCTTGCGGATCCCACAGAAAGAGTGTTTCGAAACTGCTGTTTCAAAAGGAATCTTCAACTCTGTGAGTTGAATGCAATCATCACAAAGAAGTTTCTGACAATGCTTCTCTCTCGTCTTTCTGTGAAGATAAAGGAAAAGGCTTTCAGGCCTTTTCCACCACAGGCCTGAAAGCGCTCCAAATGTCCACTTGCAGATTCTGCGAAAAGAATATTTCAAAACTGCTCTATGAAAAGCAATGTTAAACTCTGTGGCTGGAACACAAACATCACAAAGCGGTTTCTGAGAATGTTTCAGTTTAGATTTCTGTGGAAATATTCCCGTTTCCAAAGAAATCTTCAAAGAGGTCCACGTATCCACTTACAGATTCTACAAAAAGACAGTTTCAAAACTGCTCCATCAAAAGGAGGGTTCAACTGTGTGACTTGAATGCAATCATCACTCAGAAGTTTCTGAGAATGCTTCTCTTTAGTTTTTACGTGAACATATACCCGTTTCGAACGAAGGCCACCCAGTGGTCCAAATATCCACTTGCAGATTCTACAGAAAGAGTGTTTCGAACCTGAACTCTCAAAGGCAGGTTCATCTCTGCGAGTTAAATGCATTCATCATGAAGAACTTTCTCAGAGTGTTTGTGTTTAGTTATGGGAAATTATTCCCGTTTCCAACGAAATCCTCAGGGAGCTCCAAATATCCACCTGCAGATTCTACCAAAAGTGTATTTGGAAACTGCTCCATCAAAAGGCATGTTCAGCTCTGTGAGTGAAACTCCATCATCACAAAGAATATTCTGAGAATGCTTCCGTTTGCCTTTTATATGAACTTCCTTCCTGTACTACCGTAGGCCTCAAAGCAGTCCAAATCTCCATTTGCAGATTCTACAAAAAGAGTGATTCCAATCTGCTCTATCAATAGGATTGTTCAACTCCATGAGTTGAATGCCATCCTCACAAAGTAGTTTCTGAGAATGCTTCTATCTGGTTTTTGTGTGAAGATATTTCCTTTTCCACCACAGGCCTCAAAGCCCTCGAAACGTCCACTTGCAGATTCTCGAAAAAGAGTGTTTCATAGCTGCTCTTTCAAAAGGAAAGTTCAACTCTGGGAGTTGAATACAAACATCACAAAGTAGTTTCCGAGAATGCTTCTGTTTAGTTTTTATTTGAAGATGATCCCGTTTCCAGTGAAATCTTCAAAGAGGTCCACATATCCCCTTGCAGATTCCAAAGAAAGAGGGTTTCAAAACTGCTCCATCAGAAGGATTGTTCAACTCTGTGAGTTGAATGCAGTCATCGCAGAAAACTTTCTGAGAATGCTTCTGTCTAGGTTTGATGTGAAGGTATAGACGTTTCAAATGAAGGCTACAAAGTGGTCAAAATATACACTTGCAGATTCTACTACAAGGGTGTTGCAAACCTGAACTATCAAAGGAAGGTTCAACTCTGTGAGTTGAATACAAACATCACAAAGAATGTTCTGAGTTTGCTTCCGTTCAGTTATGGGAAGTTGATCCCGTTTCCAACGAAATCCTCAGAGAGGTCAAAATATCCCCTTGCAGATTCTACAAAACGTGTGTTTGGAAACTGCTCCATCATAACGAATGTTCAGCTCCCTGAGTTAAACTCCATCGTCACAAAGAATTTTCTGAGAGTGCTACCGTCTGGTTTTTATATGAAGTTCTTTCCTTCACTACCACAGGCCTCAAAGCGGTCCAAATCTCCACTTGCAGATTCTACAAAAAGAGTGTTTGCAAACTGCTCTATCAAAAGGAATGTTCAACTCTGGGAGTTGAATGCAATCATCACAGAGCAGTTTCTGAGAATGCTTCTATGTCGTTTTTAGGAGAAGATATTTCCTTTTCCAACACAGTCCTCCAAGCCCGCTAAATAGCCACTTGCACATTGTAGAAAAAGTGTGTCAAAGCTGCGCTATCAAAGGGAAAGTTGAACTCTGTGAGGTGAATGCAAACATCCCAAAGAAGTTTCTGAGAATGCTTCCGTTTAGCTTTTAGGTGAAGATTATTCCGTTTCCAACGAAATCTTCAAAGAGGTCTAAATATCCCCTTGCGGATCCCACAGAAAGAGTGTTTTGAAACTGCTGTTTCAAAAGGAATCTTCAACTCTGTGAGTTGAATGCAATCATCACAAAGAAGTTTCTGACAATGCTTCTCTCTCGTCTTTCTGTGAAGATAAAGGAAAAGGCTTTCAGGCCTTTTCCACCCACAGGCCTGAAAGCGCTCCAAATGTCCACTTGCAGATTCTGCGAAAAGAATATTTCAAAACTGCTCTATGAAAAGCAATGTTAAACTCTGCGGCTCGAACACAAACATCACAAAGCGGTTTCTGAGAATGCTTCAGTTTAGTTTTTCTGTGGAAATTTTCCCGTTTCCAAAGAAATCTTCAAAGAGGTCCACGTATCCACTTACAGATTCTACAAAAAGACAGTTTCCAAACTGCTCCATCAAAAGGAGGGTTCAACCGTGTGACTTGAATGCAATCATCACTCAGAAGTTTCTGAGAATGCTTCTCTTTAGTTTTTACGTGAACATATACCCGTTTCGAACGAAGGCCACCCAGTGGTCCAAATATCCACTTGCAGATTATACAGAAAGAGTGTTTCGAACCTGAACTCTCAAAGGCAGGTTCATCTCTGCGAGTTAAATGCATTCATCATGAAGAACTTTCTCAGAGTGTTTGTGTTTAGTTATGGGAAATTATTCCCGTTTCCAACAAAATCCTCAGAGAGCTCCAAATATCCACCTGCAGATTCTACCAAAAGTGTATTTGGAAACTGCTCCATCAAAAGGCATGTTCAGCTCTGTGAGTGAAACTCCATCATCACAAAGAATATTCTGAGAATGCTTCCGTTTGCCTTTTATATGAAGTTCCTTCCTGTACTACCGTAGGCCTCAAAGCAGTCCAAATCTCCATTTGCAGATTCTACAAAAAGAGTGATTCCAATCTGCTCTATCAATAGGATTGTTCAACTCCATGAGTTGAATGCCATCCTCACAAAGCAGTTTCTGAGAATGCTTCTATCTGGTTTTTGTGTGAAGATATTTCCTTTTCCACCACAGGCCTCAAAGCCCTCCAAACGTCCACTTGCAGATTCTCGAAAAAGAGTGTTTCATAGCTGCTCTTTCAAAAGGAAAGTTCAACTCTAGGAGTTGAATACAAACATCACAAAGTAGTTTCCGAGAATGCTTCTGTTTAGTTTTTATGTGAAGATGATCCCGTTTCCAGTGAAATCTTCAAAGAGGTCCACATATCCCCTTGCAGATTCCAAAGAAAGAGGGTTTCAAAACTGCTCCATCAGAAGGATTGTTCAACTCTGTGAGTTGAATGCAGTCATCGCAGAAAACTTTCTGAGAATGCTTCTGTCTAGGTTTGATGTGAAGATATAGACGTTTCAAACGAAGGCTACAAAGTGGTCAAAATATACACTTGCAGATTCTACTACAAGGGTGTTGCAAACCTGAACTATCAAAGGAAGGTTCAACTCTGTGAGTTGAATACAAACATCACAAAGAATGTTCTGAGTTTGCTTCCGTTCAGTTATGGGAAGTTGATCCCGTTTCCAACGAAATCCTCAGAGAGGTCCAAATATCCCCTCGCAGATTCTACAAAACGTGTGTTTGGAAACTGCTCCATCATAACGAATGTTCAGCTCCCTGAGTTAAACTCCATCGTCACAAAGAATTTTCTGAGAGTGCTACCGTCTGGTTTTTATATGAAGTTCTTTCCTTCACTACCACAGGCCTCAAAGCGGTCCAAATCTCCACTTGCAGATTCTACAAAAAGAGTGTTTGCAAACTGCTCTATCAAAAGGAATGTTCAACTCTGGGAGTTGAATGCAATCATCACAGAGCAGTTTCTGAGAATGCTTCTATGTCGTTTTTAGGAGAAGATATTTCCTTTTCCAACACAGTCCTCCAAGCCCGCTAAATAGCCACTTGCACATTGTAGAAAAAGTGTGTCAAAGCTGCGCTATCAAAGGGAAAGTTCAACTCTGTGAGGTGAATGCAAACATCCCAAAGAAGTTTCTGAGAATGCTTCCGTTTAGCTTTTAGGTGAAGATTATCCCGTTTCCAACGAAACCTTCAAAGAGGTCCAAATATCCCCTTGTGGATCCCACAGAAAGAGTGTTTCGAAACTGCTGTTTCAAAAGGAATCTTCAACTCTGTGAGTTGAATGCAATCATCACAAAGAAGTTTCTGACAATGCTTCTCTCTCGTCTTTCTGTGAAGATAAAGGAAAAGGCTTTCAGGCCTTTTCCACCACAGGCCTGAAAGCGCTCCAAATGTCCACTTGCAGATTCTGCCAAAAGAATATTTCAAAACTGCTCTATGAAAAGCAATGTTAAACTCTGTGGCTCGAACACAAACATCACAAAGCAGTTTCTGAGAATGCTTCAGTTTAGATTTTCTGTGGAAATACTCCCGTTTCGAAAGAAATCTTCAAAGAGGTCCACGTATCCACTTACAGATTCTACAAAAAGACAGTTTCAAAACTGCTCCATCAAAAGGAGGGTTCAACTGTGTGACTTGAATGCAATCATCACTCAGAAGTTTCTGAGAATGCTTCTCTTTAGTTTTTACGTGAACATATACCCGTTTCGAACGAAGGCCACCCAGTGGTCCAAATATCCACTTGCAGATTCTACAGAAAGAGTGTTTCGAACCTGAACTCTCAAAGGCAGGTTCATCTCTGCGAGTTAAATGCATTCATCATGAAGAACTTTCTCAGAGTGTTTGTGTTTAGTTATGGGAAATTATTCCCGTTTCCAACGAAATCCTCAGAGAGCTCCAAATATCCACCTGCAGATTCTACCAAAAGTGTATTTGGAAACTGCTCCATCAAAAGGCATGTTCAGCTCTGTGAGTGAAACTCCATCATCACAAAGAATATTCTGAGAATGCTTCCGTTTGCCTTTTATATGAAGTTCCTTCCTATACGACCGTAGGCCTCAAAGCAGTCCAAATCTCCATTTGCAGATTCTACAAAAAGAGTGATTCCAATCTGCTCTATCAATAGGATTGTTCAACTCCATGAGTTGAATGCCATCCTCACAAAGTAGTTTCTGAGAATGCTTCTATCTGGTTTTTGTGTGAAGATATTTCCTTTACCACCACAGGCCTCAAAGCCCTCCAAACGACCACTTGCAGATTCTCGAAAAAGAGTGTTTCATAGCTGCTCTTTCAAAAGGAAAGTTCAACTCTGGGAGTTGAATACAAACATCACAAAATAGTTTCCGAGAATGCTTCTGTTTAGTTTTTATGTGAAGATGATCCCGTTTCCAGTGAAATCTTCAAAGAGGTCCACATATCCCCTTGCAGATTCCAAAGAAAGAGGGTTTCAAAACTGCTCCATCAAAAGGATTCTTCAACTCTGTGAGTTGAATGCAGTCATCGCAGAAAACTTTCTGAGAATGCTTCTGTCTAGGTTTGATGTGAAGATATAGAGGTTTCAAACGAAGGCTACAAAGTGGTCAAAATATACACTTGCAGATTCTACTACAAGGGTGTTGCAAACCTGAACTATCAAAGGAAGGTTCAACTCTGTGAGTTGAATACAAACATCACAAAGAATGTTCTGAGTTTGCTTCCGTTCAGTTATGGGAAGTTGATCCCGTTTCCAACGAAATCCTCAGAGAGGTCCAAATATCCCCTTGCAGATTCTACAAAACGTGTGTTTGGAAACTGCTCCATCTTAACGAATGTTCAGCTCCCTGAGTTAAACTCCATCGTCACAAAGAATTTTCTGAGAGTGCTACCGTCTGGTTTTTATATGAAGTTCTTTCCTTCACTACCACAGGCCTCAAAGCGGTCCAAATCTCCACTTGCAGATTCTACAAAAAGAGTGTTTGCAAACTGCTCTATCAAAAGGAATGTTCAACTCTGGGAGTTGAATGCAATCATCACAGAGCAGTTTCTGAGAATGCTTCTATGTCGTTTTTAGGAGAAGATATTTCCTTTTCCAACACAGTCCTCCAAGCCCGCTAAATATCCACTTGCACATTGTAGAAAAAGTGTGTCGAAGCTGCGCTATCAAAGGGAAAGTTCAACTCTGTGAGGTGAATGCAAACATCCCAAAGAAGTTTCTGAGAATGCTTCCGTTTAGCTTTTAGGTGAAGATTATCCCGTTTCCAACGAAATCTTCAAAGAGGTCCAAATATCCCCTTGCGGATCCCACAGAAAGAGTGTTTCGAAACTGCTGTTTCAAAAGGAATCTTCAACTCTGTGAGTTGAATGCAATCATCACAAAGAAGTTTCTGACAATGCTTCTCTCTCGTCTTTCTGTGAAGATAAAGGAAAAGGCTTTCAGGCCTTTTCCACCACAGGCCTGAAAGCGCTCCAAATGTCCACTTGCAGATTCTGCCAAAAGAATATTTCAAAACTGCTCTATGAAAAGCAATGTTAAACTCTGTGGCTCGAACACAAACATCACAAAGCAGTTTCTGAGAATGCTTCAGTTTAGTTTTTCTGTGGAAATATTCCCGTTTCGAAAGAAATCTTCAAAGAGGTCCACGCATCCACTTACAGATTCTACAAAAAGACAGTTTCAAAACTGCTCAATCATAAGGAGGGTTCAACCGTGTGACTTGAGTGCAATCATCACTCAGAAGTTTCTGAGAACGCTTCTCTTTAGTTTTTACGTGAACATATACCCGTTTCGAACGAAGGCCACCCAGTGGTCCAAATATCCACTTGCAGATTCTACAGAAAGAGTGTTTCGAACCTGAACTCTCAAAGGCAGGTTCATCTCTGCGAGTTCAATGCATTCATCATGAAGAACTTTCTCAGAGTGTTTGTGTTTAGTTATGGGAAATTATTCCAGTTTCCAAAGAAATCCTCAGAGAGGTCCAAATATCCACCTGCAGATTCTACCAAAAGTGTATTTGGAAACTGCTCCATCAAAAGGCATGTTCAGTTCTGTGAGTGAAACTCCATCATCACAAAGAATATTCTGAGAATGCTTCCGTTTGCCTTTTATATGAAGTTCCTTCCTGTACTACCGTAGGCCTCAAAGCAGTCCAAATCTCCATTTGCAGATCCTACAAAAAGAGTGATTCCAATCTGCTCTATCAATAGGATAGTTCAACTCCATGAGTTGAATGCCATCCTCACAAAGTAGTCTCTGAGAATGCTTCTATCTAGTTTTTATGTGAAGATATTTCCTTTTCCACCACAGGCCTCAAAGCCCTCCAAACGTCCACTTGCAGATTCTCGAAAAAGAGTGTTTCATAGCTGCTCTTTCAAAAGGAAAGTTCAACTCTGGGAGTTGAATACAAACATCACAAAGTAGTTTCCGAGAATGCTTCTGTTTAGTTCTTATGTGAAGATGATCCCGTTTCCAGTGAAATCTTCAAAGAGGTCCACATATCCCCTTGCAGATTCCAAAGAAAGAGGGTTTCAAAACTGCTCCATCAAAAGGATTGTTCAACTCTGTGAGTTGAATGCAGTCATCGCAGAAAACTTTCTGAGAATGCTTCTGTCTAGGTTTGATGTGAAGATATAGACGTTTCAAACGAAGGCTACAAAGTGGTCAACATATACACTTGCAGATTCTACTACAAGGGTGATGCAAACCTGAACTATCAAAGGAAGGTTCAACTCTGTGAGTTGAATACAAACATCACAAAGAATGTTCTGAGTTTGCTTCCGTTCAGTTATGGGAAGTTGATCCCGTTCCCAACGAAATCCTCAGAGAGGTCCAAATATCCCCTTGCAGATTCTACAAAACGTGTGTTTGGAAACTGCTCCATCATAACGAATGTTCAGCTCTCTGAGTTAAACTCCATCGTCACAAAGAATTTTCTGAGAGTGCTACCGTCTAGTTTTTATATGAAGTTCTTTCCTTTACTACCACAGGCCTCAAAGCTGTCCAAATCTCCACTTGCAGATTCTACAAAAAGAGTGTTTGCAAACTGCTCTATCAAAAGGAATGTTCAACTCTGGGAGTTGAATGCAATCATCACAGAGCAGTTTCTGAGAATGCTTCTATGTCGTTTTTAGGAGAAGATATTTCCTTTTCCAACACAGTCCTCCAAGCCCGCTAAATATCCACTTGCACATTGTAGAAAAAGTGTGTCGAAGCTGTGCTATCAAAGGGAAAGTTCAACTCTGTGAGGTGAATGCAAACATCCCAAAGAAGTTTCTGAGAATGCTTCCGTTTAGCTTTTAGGTGAAGATTATCCCGTTTCCAACGAAACCTTCAAAGAGGTCCAAATATCCCCTTGCGGATCCCACAGAAAGAGTGTTTCGAAACTGCTGTTTCAAAAGGAATCTTCAACTCTGTGAGTTGAATGCAATCATCAAAAAGAAGTTTCTGACAATGCTTCCCTCTCGTCTTTCTGTGAAGATAAAGGAAAAGGCTTTCAGGCCTTTTCCACCACAGGCCTGAAAGCGCTCCAAATGTCCACTTGCAGATTCTGCCAAAAGAATATTTCAAAACTGCTCTATGAAAAGCAATGTTAAACTCTGTGGCTCGAACACAAACATCACAAAGCAGTTTCTGAGAATGCTTCAGTTTAGTTTTTCTGTGGAAATATTCCCGTTTCCAAAGAAATCTTCAAAGAGGTCCACGTATCCACTTACAGATTCTACAAAAAGACAGTTTCAAAACTGCTCCATCAAAAGGAGGGTTCAACCGTGTGACTTGAATGCAATCATCACTCAGAAGTTTGCTGAGAATGCTTCTCTTTAGTTTTTACGTGAACATATACCCGTTTCGAACGAAGGCCACCCAGTGGTCCAAATATCCACTTGCAGATTCTACAGAAAGAGTGTTTCGAACCTGAACTCTCAAAGGCAGGTTCATCTCTGCGAGTTAAATGCATTCATCATGAAGAACTTTCTCAGCGTGTTTGTGTTTAGTTATGGGAAATTATTCCCGTTTCCAACGAAATCCTCAAAGAGCTCCAAATATCCACCTGCAGATTCTACCAAAAGTGTATTTGGAAACTGCTCCATCAAAAGGCATGTTCAGCTCTGTGAGTGAAACTCCATCATCACAAAGAATATTCTGAGAATGCTTCCGTTTGCCTGTTATATGAAGTTCCTTCCTATACGACCGTAGGCCTCAAAGCAGTCCAAATCTCCATTTGCAGATTCTACAAAAAGAGTGATTCCAATCTGCTCTATCAATAGGATTGTTCAACTCCATGAGTTGAATGCCATCTTCCAAAGTAGTTTCTGAGAATGCTTCTATCTAGTTTTTATGTGAAGATATTTCCTTTTCCACCACAGGCCTCAAAGCCCTCCAAACGTCCACTTGCAGATTCTCGAAAAAGAGTGTTTCATAGCTGCTCTTTCAAAAGGAAAGTTCAACTCTGGCAGTTGAATACAAACATCACAAAGTAGTTTCCGAGAATGCTTCTGTTTAGTTTTTATGTGAAGATGATCCCGTTTCCAGTGAAATCTTCAAAGAGGTCCACATATCCCCTTGCAGATTCCAAAGAAAGAGGGTTTCAAAACTGCTCCATCAGAAGGATTGTTCAACTCTGTGAGTTGAATGCAGTCATCGCAGAAAACTTTCTGAGAATGCTTCTGTCTAGGTTTGATGTGAAGATATAGACGTTTCAAACGAAGGCTACAAAGTGGTCAAAATATACACTTGCAGATTCTACTACAAGGGTGTTGCAAACCTGAACTATCAAAGGAAGGTTCAACTCTGTGAGTTGAATACAAACATCACAAAGAATGTTCTGAGTTTGCTTCCGTTCAGTTATGGGAAGTTGATCCCGTTTCCAAAGAAATCCTCAGAGAGGTCCAAATATCCCCTCGCAGATTCTACAAAACGTGTGTTTGGAAACTGCTCCATCATAACGAATGTTCAGCTCCCTGAGTTAAACTCCATCGTCACAAAGAATTTTCTGAGAGTGCTACCGTCTGGTTTTTATATGAAGTTCTTTCCTTCACTACCACAGGCCTCAAAGCGGTCCAAATCTCCACTTGCAGATTCTACAAAAAGAGTGTTTGCAAACTGCTCTATCAAAAGGAATGTTCAACTCTGGGAGTTGAATGCAATCATCACAGAGCAGTTTCTGAGAATGCTTCTATGTCGTTTTTAGGAGAAGATATTTCGTTTTCCAACACAGTCCTCCAAGCCCGCTAAATAGCCACTTGCACATTGTAGAAAAAGTGTGTCAAAGCTGCGCTATCAAAGGGAAAGTTCAACTCTGTGAGGTGAATGCAAACATCCCAAAGAAGTTTCTGAGAATGTTTCCGTTTAGCTTTTAGGTGAAGATTATCCCGTTTCCAACGAAACCTTCAAAGAGGTCCAAATATCCCCTTGCGGATCCCACAGAAAGAGTGTTTCGAAACTGCTGTTTCAAAAGGAATCTTCAACTCTGTGAGTTGAATGCAATCATCACAAAGAAGTTTCTGACAATGCTTCTCTCTCGTCTTTCTGTGAAGATAAAGGAAAAGGCTTTCAGGCCTTTTCCACCACAGGCCTGAAAGCGCTCCAAATGTCCACTTGCAGATTCTGCCAAAAGAATATTTCAAAACTGCTCTATGAAAAGCAATGTTAAACTCTGTGGCTCGAACACAAACATCACAAAGCGGTTTCTGAGAATGCTTCAGTTTAGTTTTTCTGTGGAAATATTCCCGTTTCCAAAGAAATCTTCAAAGAGGTCCACGTATCCACTTACAGATTCTACAAAAAGACAGTTTCAAAACTGCTCCATCAAAAGGAGGGTTCAACTGTGTGACTTGAATGCAATCATCACTCAGAAGTTTCTGAGAATGCTTCTCTTTAGTTTTTACGTGAACATATACCCGTTTCGAACGAAGGCCACCCAGTGGTCCAAATATCCACTTGCAGATTATACAGAAAGAGTGTTTCGAACCTGAACTCTCAAAGGCAGGTTCATCTCTGCGAGTTAAATGCATTCATCATGAAGAACTTTCTCAGAGTGTTTGTGTTTAGTTATGGGAAATTATTCCCGTTTCCAACGAAATCCTCAGAGAGCTCCAAATATCCACCTGCAGATTCTACCAAAAGTGTATTTGGAAACTGCTCCATCAAAAGGCATGTTCAGCTCTGTGAGTGAAACTCCATCATCACAAAGAATATTCTGAGAATGCTTCCGTTTGCCTTTTATATGAAGTTCCTTCCTGTACTACCGTAGGCCTCAAAGCAGTCCAAATCTCCATTTGCAGATTCTATAAAAAGAGTGATTCCAATCTGCTCTATCAATAGGATTGTTCAACTCCATGAGTTGAATGCCATCCTCACAAAGTAGTTTCTGAGAATGCTTCTATCTGGTTTTTGTGTGAAGATATTTCCTTTTCCACCACAGGCCTCAAAGCCCTCCAAACGTCCACTTGCAGATTCTCGAAAAAGAGTGTTTCATAGCTGCTCTTTCAAAAGGAAAGTTCAACTCTGGGAGTTGAATACAAACATCACAAAATAGTTTCCGAGAATGCTTCTGTTTAGTTTTTATGTGAAGATGATCCCGTTTCCAGTGAAATCTTCAAAGAGGTCCACATATCCCCTTGCAGATTCCAAAGAAAGAGGGTTTCAAAACTGCTCCATCAGAGGATTGTTCAACTCTGTGAGTTGAATGCAGTCATCGCAGAAATCTTTCTGAGAATGCTTCTGTCTAGGTTTGATGTGAAGATATAGACGTTTCAAACGAAGGCTACAAAGTGGTCAAAATATACACTTGCAGATTCTACTACAAGGGTGTTGCAAACCTGAACTATCAAAGGAAGGTTCAACTCTGTGAGTTGAATACAAACATCACAAAGAATGTTCTGAGTTTGCTTCCGTTCAGTTATGGGAAGTTGATCCCGTTTCCAACGAAATCCTCAGAGAGGTCCAAATATCCCCTTGCAGATTCTACAAAACGTGTGTTTGGAAACTGCTCCATCATAACGAATGTTCAGCTCCCTGAGTTAAACTCCATCGTCACAAAGAATTTTCTGAGAGTGCTACCGTCTGGTTTTTATATGAAGTTCTTTCCTTCACTACCACAGGCCTCAAAGCGGTCCAAATCTCCACTTGCAGATTCTACAAAAAGAGTGTTTGCAAACTGCTCTATCAAAAGGAATGTTCAACTCTGGGAGTTGAATGCAATCATCACAGAGCAGTTTCTGAGAATGCTTCTATGTCGTTTTTAGGAGAAGATATTTCCTTTTCCAACACAGTCCTCCAAGCCCGCTAAATAGCCACTTGCACATTGTAGAAAAAGTGTGTCAAAGCTGCGCTATCAAAGGGAAAGTTCAACTCTGTGAGGTGAATGCAAACATCCCAAAGAAGTTTCTGAGAATGCTTCCGTTGAGCTTTTAGGTGAAGATTATCCCGTTTCCAACGAAACCTTCAAAGAGGTCCAAATATCCCCTTGCGGATCCCACAGAAAGAGTGTTTCGAAACTGCTGTTTCAAAAGGAATCTTCAACTCTGTGAGTTGAATGCAATCATCACAAAGAAGTTTCTGACAATGCTTCTCTCTCGTCTTTCTGTGAAGATAAAGGAAAAGGCTTTCAGGCCTTTTCCACCACAGGCCTGAAAGCGCTCCAAATGTCCACTTGCAGATTCTGCCAAAAGAATATTTCAAAACTGCTCTATGAAAAGCAATGTTAAACTCTGTGGCTCGAACACAAACATCACAAAGCAGTTTCTGAGAATGCTTCAGTTTAGTTTTTCTGTGGAAATATTCCCGTTTCCAAAGAAATCTTCAAAGAGGTCCACGTATCCACTTACAGATTCTACAAAAAGACAGTTTCAAAACTGCTCCATCAAAAGGAGGGTTCAACTGTGTGACTTGAATGCAATCATCACTCAGAAGTTTCTGAGAATGCTTCTCTTTAGTTTTTACGTGAACATATACCCGTTTCGAACGAAGGCCAGCCAGTGGTCCAAATATCCACTTGCAGATTCTACAGAAAGAGTGTTTCGAACCTGAACTCTCAAAGGCAGGTTCATCTCTGCGAGTTAAATGCATTCATCATGAAGAACTTTCTCAGAGTGTTTGTGTTTAGTTATGGGAAATTATTCCCGTTTCCAACGAAATCCTCAGAGAGCTCCAAATATCCACCTGCAGATTCTACCAAAAGTGTATTTGGAAACTGCTCCATCAAAAGGCATGTTCAGCTCTGTGAGTGAAACTCCATCATCACAAAGAATATTCTGAGAATGCTTCCGTTTGCCTTTTATATGAAGTTCCTTCCTATACGACCGTAGGCCTCAAAGCAGTCCAAATCTCCATTTGCAGATTCTACAAAAAGAGTGATTCCAATCTGCTCTATCAATAGGATTGTTCAACTCCATGAGTTGAATGCCATCCTCACAAAGTAGTTTCTGAGAATGCTTCTATCTAGTTTTTATGTGAAGGTATTTCCTTTTCCACCACAGGCCTCCAAGCCCTCCAAACGTCCACTTGCAGATTCTCGAAAAAGAGTGTTTCATAGCTGCTCTTTCAAAAGGAAAGTTCAACTCTGGGAGTTGAATACAAACATCACAAAATAGTTTCCGAGAATGCTTCTGTTTAGTTTTTATGTGAAGATGATCCCGTTTCCAGTGAAATCTTCAAAGAGGTCCACATATCCCCTTGCAGATTCCAAAGAAAGAGGGTTTAAAAACTGCTCCATCAGAAGGATTGTTCAACTCTGTGAGTTGAATGCAGTCATCGCAGAAAACTTTCTGAGAATGCTTCTGTCTAGGTTTGATGTGAAGATATAGACGTTTCAAACGAAGGCTACAACATGGTCAAAATATACACTTGCAGATTCTACTACAAGGGTGTTGCAAACCTGAACTATCAAAGGAAGGTTCAACTCTGTGAATTGAATACAAACATCACAAAGAATGTTCTGAGTTTGCTTCCGTTCAGTTATGGGAAGTTGATCCCGTTTCCAACGAAATCCTCAGAGAGGTCCAAATATCCCCTCGCAGATTCTACAAAACGTGTGTTTGGAAACTGCTCCATCATAACGAATGTTCAGCTCCCTGAGTTAAACTCCATCGTCACAAAGAATTTTCTGAGAGTGCTACCGTCTGGTTTTTATATGAAGTTCTTTCCTTCACTACCACAGGCCTCAAAGCGGTCCAAATCTCCACTTGCAGATTCTACAAAAAGAGTGTTTGCAAACTGCTCTATCAAAAGGAATGTTCAACTCTGGGAGTTGAATGCAATCATCACAGAGCAGTTTCTGAGAATGCTTCTATGTCGTTTTTAGGAGAAGATATTTCCTTTTCCAACACAGTCCTCCAAGCCCGCTAAATATCCACTTGCACATTGTAGAAAAAGTGTGTCAAAGCTGCGCTATCAAAGGGAAAGTTCAACTCTGTGAGGAGAGTGAAAACATCCCAAAGAAGTTTCTGAGAATGCTTCCTTTCAGCTTTTAGGTGAAGATTATCCCGTTTCCAACGAAATCTTCAAAGAGGTCCAAATATCCCCTTGCGGATCCCACAGAAAGAGTGTTTCGAAACTGCTGTTTCAAAAGGAATCTTCAACTCTGTGAGTTGAATGCAATCATCACCACGAAGTTTCTGACAATGCTTCTCCCTCATCTTTCTGTGAAGATAAAGGAAAAGGCTTTCAGGCCTTTTCCACCACAGGCCTGAAAGCGCTCCAAATGTCCACTTGCAGATTCTGCCAAAAGAATATTTCAAAACTGCTCTATGAAAAGCAATGTTAAACTCTGCGGCTCGAACACAAACATCACAAAGCAGTTTCTGAGAATGCTTCAGTTTAGTTTTTCTGTGGAAATATTCCCGTTTCCAAAGAAATCCTCAAAGAGGTCCACGTATCCACTTACAGATCCTACAAAAAGACAGTTTCAAAACTGCTCCATCAAAAGGAGGGTTCAACTGTGTGACTTGAAAGCAATCATCACTCAGAAGTTTCTGAGAATGCTTCTCTTTAGTTTTTACGTGAACATATACCCGTTTCGAACGAAGGCCACCCAGTGGTCCAAATATCCACTTGCAGATTCTAGAGAAAGAGTGTTTCGAACATGAACTCTCAAAGGCAGGATCATCTCTGAAAGTTAAATGTATTCGTCATGAAGAACTTTCTCAGCGTGTTTGTGTTTAGTTATGGGAAATTACTCCCGTTTCCAACGAAATCCTCTGAGAGGTCCAAATATCCACCTGCAGATTCTACCAAAAGTGTATTTGGAAACTGCTCCATCAACAGGCATGTTCAGCTCTGTGAGTGAAACTCCATCATCACAAAGAATATTCTGAGAATGCTTCCGTTTGCCTTTTATATGAAGTTCCTTCCTATACGACCGTAGGCCTCAAAGCAGTCGAAATCTCCATTTGCAGATTCTACAAAAAGAGTGATTCCAATCTGCTCTATCAATAGGATTGTTCAACTCCATGAGTTGAATGCCATCCTCACAAAGTCGTTTCTGAGAATGCTTCTATCTAGTTTTTATGTGAAGATATTTCCTTTTCCACCACAGGCCTCAAAGCCCTCCAAACGTCCACTTGCAGATTCTCGAAAAAGAGTGTTTCATAGCTGCTCTTTCAAAAGGGAAGTTCAACTCTGGGAGTTGAATACAAACATCACAAAGTAGTTTCCGAGAATGCTTCTGTTTAGTTCTTATGTGAAGATGATCCCGTTTCCAGTGAAATCTTCAAAGAGGTCCACATATCCCCTTGCAGATTCCAAAGAAAGAGGGTTTCAAAACTGCTCCATCAAAAGGATTGTTCAACTCTGTGAGTTGAATGCAGTCATCGCAGAAAACTTTCTGAGAATGCTTCTGTCTAGGTTTGATGTGAAGATATAGACGTTTCAAACGAACGCTACAAAGTGGTCAAAATATACACTTGCAGATTCTACTACAAGGGTGTTGCAAACCTCAACTATCAAAGGAAGGTTCAACTCTGTGAGTTGAATACAAACATCACAAAGAATGTTCTGAGTTTGCTTCCGTTCAGTTATGGGAAGTTGATCCCGTTTCCAACGAAATCCTCAGAGAGGTCCAAATATCCCCTTGCAGATTCTACAAAACGTGTGTTTGGAAACTGCTCCATCATAAAGAATGTTCAGCTCTCTGAGTTAAACTCCATCGTCACAAAGAATTTTCTGATAGTGCTACCGTCTAGTTTTTATATGAAGTTCTTTCCTTTACTACCACAGGCCTCAAAGCGGTCCAAATCTCCACTTGCAGATTCTACAAAAAGAGTGTTTGCAAACTGCTCTATCAAAAGGAATGTTCAACTCTGGGAGTTGAATGCAATCATCACAGAGCAGTTTCTGAGAATGCTTCTATGTCGTTTTTAGGAGAAGATATTTCCTTTTCCAACACAGTCCTCCAAGCCCGCTAAATATCCACTTGCACATTGTAGAAAAAGTGTGTCAAAGCTGCGCTATCAAAGGGAAAGTTCAACTCTGTGAGGTGAATGCAAACATCCCAAAGAAGTTTCTGAGAATGCTTCCGTTTAGCTTTTAGGTGAAGATTATCCCGTTTCCAACGAAATCTTCAAAGAGGTCCAAATATCCCCTTGCGGATCCCACAGAAAGAGTGTTTCGAAACTGCTGTTTCAAAAGGAATCTTCAACTCTGTGAGTTGAATGCAATCATCACAAAGAAGTTTCTGACAATGCTTCTCTCTCGTCTTTCTGTGAAGATAAAGGAAAAGGCTTTCAGGCCTTTTCCACCACAGGCCTGAAAGCGCTCCAAATGTCCACTTGCAGATTCTGCGAAAAGAATATTTCAAAACTGCTCTATGAAAAGCAATGTTAAACTCTGTGGCTCGAACACAAACATCACAAAGCAGTTTCTGAGAATGCTTCAGTTTAGTTTTTCTGTGGAAATATTCCCGTTTCCAAAGAAATCTTCAAAGAGGTCCACGTATCCACTTACAGATTCTACAAAAAGACAGTTTCAAAACTGCTCCATCAAAAGGAGGGTTCAACTGTGTGACTTGAATGCAATCATCACTCAGAAGTTTCTGAGAATGCTTCTCTTTAGTTTTTACGTGAACATATACCCGTTTCGAACGAAGGCCACCCAGTGGTCCAAATATCCACTTGCAGATTATACAGAAAGAGTGTTTCGAACCTGAACTCTCAAAGGCAGGTTCATCTCTGCGAGTTAAATGCATTCATCATGAAGAACTTTCTCAGAGTGTTTGTGTTTAGTTATGGGAAATTATTCCCGTTTCCAACGAAATCCTCAGAGAGCTCCAAATATCCACCTGCAGATTCTACCAAAAGTGTATTTGGAAACTGCTCCATCAAAAGGCATGTTCAGCTCTGTGAGTGAAACTCCATCATCACAAAGAATATTCTGAGAATGCTTCCGTTTGCGTTTTATATGAAGTTCCTTCCTGTACTACCGTAGGCCTCAAAGCAGTCCAAATCTCCATTTGCAGATTCTACAAAAAGAGTGATTCCAATCTGCTCTATCAATAGGATTGTTCAACTCCATGAGTTGAATGCCATCCTCACAAAGCAGTTTCTGAGAATGCTTCTATCTGGTTTTTGTGTGAAGATATTTCCTTTTCCACCACAGGCCTCAAAGCCCTCCAAACGTCCACTTGCAGATTCTCGAAAAAGAGTGTTTCATAGCTGCTCTTTCAAAAGGAAAGTTCAACTCTGGGAGTTGAATACAAACATCACAAAATAGTTTCCGAGAATGCTTCTGTTTAGTTTTTATGTGAAGATGATCCCGTTTCCAGTGAAATCTTCAAAGAGGTCCACATATCCCCTTGCAGATTCCAAAGAAAGAGGGTTTCAAAACTGCTCCATCAAAAGGATTGTTCAACTCTGTGAGTTGAATGCAGTCATCGCAGAAAACTTTCTGAGAATGCTTCTGTCTAGGTTTGATGTGAAGATATAGACGTTTCAAACGAAGGCTACAAAGTGGTCAAAATATACACTTGCAGATTCTACTACAAGGGTGTTGCAAACCTGAACTATCAAAGGAAGGTTCAACTCTGTGAGTTGAATACAAACATCACAAAGAATGTTCTGAGTTTGCTTCCGTTCAGTTATGGGAAGTTGATCCCGTTTCCAACGAAATCCTCAGAGAG
The DNA here is from genome assembly GCF_000001405.40 of Homo sapiens. Taxonomy (NCBI): domain Eukaryota; kingdom Metazoa; phylum Chordata; class Mammalia; order Primates; family Hominidae; genus Homo; species Homo sapiens. The sequence goes on along the minus strand of NC_000023.11, from coordinate 60,218,259 downwards.
GTCCAAATATCCCCTCGCAGATTCTACAAAACGTGTGTTTGGAAACTGCTCCATCATAACGAATGTTCAGCTCCCTGAGTTAAACTCCATCGTCACAAAGAATTTTCTGAGAGTGCTACCGTCTGGTTTTTATATGAAGTTCTTTCCTTCACTACCACAGGCCTCAAAGCGGTCCAAATCTCCACTTGCAGATTCTACAAAAAGAGTGTTTGCAAACTGCTCTATCAAAAGGAATGTTCAACTCTGGGAGTTGAATGCAATCATCACAGAGCAGTTTCTGAGAATGCTTCTATGTCGTTTTTAGGAGAAGATATTTCCTTTTCCAACACAGTCCTCCAAGCCCGCTAAATAGCCACTTGCACATTGTAGAAAAAGTGTGTCAAAGCTGCGCTATCAAAGGGAAAGTTCAACTCTGTGAGGTGAATGCAAACATCCCAAAGAAGTTTCTGAGAATGCTTCCGTTTAGCTTTTAGGTGAAGATTATCCCGTTTCCAACGAAACCTTCAAAGAGGTCCAAATATCCCCTTGCGGATCCCACAGAAAGAGTGTTTCGAAACTGCTGTTTCAAAAGGAATCTTCAACTCTGTGAGTTGAATGCAATCATCACAAAGAAGTTTCTGACAATGCTTCTCTCTCGTCTTTCTGTGAAGATAAAGGAAAAGGCTTTCAGGCCTTTTCCACCCACAGGCCTGAAAGCGCTCCAAATGTCCACTTGCAGATTCTTCCAAAAGAATATTTCAAAACTGCTCTATGAAAAGCAATGTTAAACTCTGCGGCTCGAACACAAACATCACAAAGCAGTTTCAGAGAATGCTTCAGTTTAGTTTTTCTGTGGAAATATTCCTGTTTCCAAAGAAATCTTCAAAGAGGTCCACGCATCCACTTACAGATTCTACAAAAAGACAGTTTCAAAACTGCTCAATCAAAAGGAGGGTTCAACTGTGTGACTTGAATGCAATCATCACTCAGAAGTTTCTGAGAACGCTTCTCTTTAGTTTTTACGTGAACATATACCCGTATCGAACGAAGGCCAGCCAGTGGTCCAAATATCCACTTGCAGATTCTACAGAAAGAGTGTTTCGAACCTGAACTCTCAAAGGCAGGTTCATCTCTGCGAGTTCAATGCATTCATCATGAAGAACTTTCTCAGCGTGTTTGTGTTTAGTTATGGGAAATTATTCCCGTTTCCAACGAAATCCTCAGAGAGCTCCAAATATCCACCTGCAGATTCTACCAAAAGTGTATTTGGAAACTGCTCCATCAAAAGGCATGTTCAGCTCTGTGGGTGAAACTCCATCATCACAAAGAATATTCTGAGAATGCTTCCGTTTGCCTTTTATATGAAGTTCCTTCCTATACTACCGTAGGCCTCAAAGCAGTCCAAATCTCCATTTGCAGATTCTACAAAAAGAGTGATTCCAATCTGCTCTATCAATAGGACTGTTCAACTCCATGAGTTGAATGCCATCCTCACAAAGTAGTTTCTGAGAATGCTTCTATCTAGTTTTTATGTGAAGATATTTCCTTTTCCACCACAGGCCTCAAAGCCCTCCAAACGTCCACTTGCAGATTCTCGAAAAAGAGTGCTTCATAGCTGCTCTTTCAAAAGGGAAGTTCAACTCTGGGAGCTGAATACAAACATCACAAAGTAGTTTCCGAGAATGCTTCTGTTTAGTTCTTATGTGAAGATGATCCCGTTTCCAGTGAAATCTTCAAAGAGGTCCACATATCCCCTTGCAGATTCCAAAGAAAGAGGGTTTCAAAACTGCTCCATCAAAAAGATTGTTCAACTCTGTGAGTTGAATGCAGTCATCGCAGAAAACTTTCTGAGAATGCTTCTGTCTAGGTTTGATGTGAAGATATAGACGTTTCAAACGAAGGCTACATAGTGGTCAACATATACACTTGCAGATTCTACTACAAGGGTGATGCAAACCTGAACTATCAAAGGAAGGTTCAACTCTGTGAGTTGAATACAAACATCACAAAGAATGTTCTGAGTTTGCTTCCGTTCAGTTATGGGAAGTTGATCCCGTTTCCAACGAAATCCTCAGAGAGGTCCAAATATCCCCTTGCAGATTCTACAAAACGTGTGTTTGGAAACTGCTCCATCATAACGAATGTTCAGCTCTCTGAGTTAAACTCCATCGTCAGAAAGAATTTTCTGAGAGTGCTACCGTCTAGTTTTTATATGAAGTTCTTTCCTTTACTACCACAGGCCTCAAAGCGGTCCAAATCTCCACTTGCAGATTCTACAAAAAGAGTGTTTGCAAACTGCTCTATCAAAAGGAATGTTCAACTCTGGGAGTTGAATGCAATCATCACAGAGCAGTTTCTGAGAATGCTTCTATGTCGTTTTTAGGAGAAGATATTTCCTTTTCCAACACAGTCCTCCAAGCCCGCTAAATATCCACTTGCACATTGTAGAAAAAGTGTGTCGAAGCTGCGCTATCAAAGGGAAAGTTCAACTCTGTGAGGTGAATGCAAACATCCCAAAGAAGTTTCTGAGAATGCTTCCGTTTAGCTTTTAGGTGACGATTATCCAGTTTCCAACGAAACCTTCAAAGAGATCCAAATATCCCCTTGCGGATCCCACAGAAAGAGTGTTTCGAAACTGCTGTTTCAAAAGGAATCTTCAACTCTGTGAGTTGAATGCAATCATCACAAAGAAGTTTCTGACAATGCTTCTCTCTCGTCTTTCTGTGAAGATAAAGGAAAAGGCTTTCAGGCCTTTTCCACCACAGGCCTGAAAGCGCTCCAAATGTCCACTTGCAGATTCTGCCAAAAGAATATTTCAAAACTGCTCTATGAAAAGCAATGTTAAACTCTGCGGCTCGAACACAAACATCACAAAGCAGTTTCTGAGAATGCTTCAGTTTAGTTTTTCTGTGGAAATATTCCCGTTTCCAAAGAAATCTTCAAAGAGGTCCACGCATCCACTTACAGATTCTACAAAAAGACAGTTTCAAAACTGCTCAATCAAAAGGAGGGTTCAACTGTGTGACTTGAATGCATTCATCACTCAGAAGTTTCTGAGAACGCTTCTCTTTAGTTTTTACGTGAACATATACCCGTTTCGAATGAAGGCCAGCCAGTGGTCCAAATATCCACTTGCAGATTCTACAGAAAGAGTGTTTTGAACCTGAACTCTCAAAGGCAGGTTCATCTCTGCGAGTTAAATGCATTCATCATGAAGAACTTTCTCAGCGTGTTTGTGTTTAGTTATGGGAAATTATTCCCGTTTCCAACGAAATCCTCAGAGAGCTCCAAATATCCACCTGCAGATTGTACCAAAAGTGTATTTGGAAACTGCTCCATGAAAAGGCATGTTCAGCTCTGTGAGTGAAACTCCGTCATCACAAAGAATATTCTGAGAATGCTTCCATTTGCCTTTTATATGAAGTTCCTTCCTATACTACCGTAGGCCTCAAAGCAGTCCAAATCTCCATTTGCAGATTCTACAAAAAGAGTGATTCCAATCTGCTCTATCAATAGGATTGTTCAAGTCCATGAGTTGAATGCCATCCTCACAAAGTCGTTTCTGAGAATGCTTCTATGTAGTTTTTATGTGAAGATATTTCCTTTTCCACCACAGGCCTCAAAGCCCTCCAAACGTCCACTTGCATATTCTCGAAAAAGAGTGTTTCATAGCTGCTCTTTCAAAAGGAAAGTTCAACTCTGGGAGTTGAATACAAACATCACAAAGTAGTTTCCGAGAATGCTTCTGTTTAGTTCTTATGTGAAGATGATCCCGTTTCCAGTGAAATCTTCAAAGAGGTCCACATATCCCCTTGCAGATTCCAAAAAAAGAGGGTTTCAAAACTGCTCCATCAAAAGGATTGTTCAACTCTGTGAGTTGAATGCAGTCATCGCAGAAAACTTTCTGAGAATGCTTCTGTCTAGGTTTGATGTGAAGATATAGACGTTTCAAACGAAGGCTACAAAGTGGTCAAAATATACACTTGCAGATTCTACTACAAGGGTGATGCAAACCTCAACTATCAAAGGAAGGTTCAACTCTGTGAGATGAATGCAAACATCACAAAGAATGTTCTGAGTTTGCTTCCGTTCAGTTATGGGAAGTTGATCCCGTTTCCAACGAAATCCTCAGAGAGGTCCAAATATCCCCTTGCAGATTCTACAAAACGTGTGTTTGGAAACTGCTCCATCATAACGAATGTTCAGCTCTCTGAGTTAAACTCCATCGTCACAAACAATTTTCTGAGACTGCTACCGTCTAGTTTTTATATGAAGTTCTTTCCTTTACTACCACAGGCCTCAAAGCGGTCCAAATCTCCACTTGCAGATTCTACAAAAAGAGTGTTTGCAAACTGCTCTATCAAAAGGAATGTTCAACTCTGGGAGTTGAATGCAATCATCACAGAGCAGTTTCTGAGAATGCTTCTATGTCGTTTTTAGGAGAAGATATTTCCTTTTCCAACACAGTCCTCCAAGCCCGCTAAATATCCACTTGCACATTGTAGAAAAAGTGTGTCGAAGCTGCGCTATCAAAGGGAAAGTTCAACTCTGTGAGGTGAATGCAAACATCCCAAAGAAGTTTCTGAGAATGCTTCCGTTTAGCTTTTAGGTGACGATTATCCAGTTTCCAACGAAACCTTCAAAGAGATCCAAATATCCCCTTGCGGATCCCACAGAAAGAGTGTTTCGAAACTGCTGTTTCAAAAGGAATCTTCAACTCTGTGAGTTGAATGCAATCATCACAAAGAAGTTTCTGACAATGCTTCTCTCTCGTCTTTCTGTGAAGATAAAGGAAAAGGCTTTCAGGCCTTTTCCACCACAGGCCTGAAAGCGCTCCAAATGTCCACTTGCAGATTCTGCCAAAAGAATATTTCAAAACTGCTCTATGAAAAGCAATGTTAAACTCTGTGACTCGAACACAAACATCACAAAGCAGTTTCTGAGAATGCTTCAGTTTAGTTTTTCTGTGGAAATATTCCCGTTTCCAAAGAAATCTTCAAAGAGGTCCACGCATCCACTTACAGATTCTACAAAAAGACAGTTTCAAAACTGCTCAATCAAAAGGAGGGTTCAACTGTGTGACTTGAATGCAATCATCACTCAGAAGTTTCTGAGAACGCTTCTCTTTAGTTTTTACGTGAACATATACCCGTTTGGAATGAAGGCCAGCCAGTGGTCCAAATATCCACTTGAAGATTCCACAGAAAGAGTGTTTCGAACCTGAACTCTCAAAGGCAGGTTCATCTCTGCGAGTTAAATGCATTCATCATGAAGAACTTTCTCAGCGTGTTTGTGTTTAGTTATGGGAAATTATTCCCGTTTCCAAGGAAATCCTCAGAGAGCTCCAAATATCCACCTGCAGATTCTACCAAAAGTGTATTTGGAAACTGCTCCATGAAAAGGCATGTTCAGCTCTGTGAGTGAAACTCCGTCATCACAAAGAATATTCTGAGAATGCTTCCGTTTGCCTTTTATATGAAGTTCCTTCCTATACTACCGTAGGCCTCAAAGCAGTCCAAATCTCCATTTGCAGATTCTACAAAAAGAGTGATTCCAATCTGCTCTATCAATAGGATTGTTCAACTCCATGAGTTGAATGCCATCCTCACAAAGTAGTTTCTGAGAATGCTTCTATGTAGTTTTTATGTGAAGATATTTCCTTTTCCACCACAGGCCTCAAAGCCCTCCAAACGTCCACTTGCAGATTCTCGAAAAAGAGTGTTTCATAGCTGCTCTTTCAAAAGGAAAGTTCAACTCTGGGAGTTGAATACAAACATCACAAAGTAGTTTCCGAGAATGCTTCTGTTTAGTTCTTATGTGAAGATGATCCCGTTTCCAGAGAAATCTTCAAAGAGGTCCACATATCACCTTGCAGATTCCAAAAAAAGAGGGTTTCAAAACTGCTCCATCAAAAGGATTGTTCAACTCTGTGAGTTGAATGCAGTCATCGCAGAAAACTTTCTGAGAATGCTTCTGTCTAGGTTTGATGTGAAGATATAGACGTTTCAAACGAAGGCTACAAAGTGGTCAAAATATACACTTGCAGATTCTCCTACAAGGGTGCTGCAAACCTCAACTATCAAAGGAAGGTTCAACTCTGTGAGATGAATGCAAACATCACAAAGAATGTTCTGAGTTTGCTTCCGTTCAGTTATGGGAAGTTGATCCCGTTTCCAACGAAATCCTCAGAGAGGTCCAAATATCCCCTTGCAGATTCTACAAAACGTGTGTTTGGAAACTGCTCCATCATAACGAATGTTCAGCTCTCTGAGTTAAACTCCATCGTCACAAAGAATTTTCTGAGAGTGCTACCGTCTAGTTTTTATATGAAGTTCTTTCCTTTACTACCACAGGCCTCAAAGCGGTCCAAATCTCCACTTGCAGATTCTACAAAAAGAGTGTTTGCAAACTGCTCTATCAAAAGGAATGTTCAACTCTGGGAGTTGAATGCAATCATCACAGAGCAGTTTCTGAGAATGCTTCTATGTCGTTTTTAGGAGAAGATATTTCCTTTTCCAACACAGTCCTCCATGCCCGCTAAATATCCACTTGCACATTGTAGAAAAAGAGTGTCGAAGCTGCGCTATCAAAGGGAAAGTTCAACTCTGTGAGGTGAATGCAAACATCCCAAAGAAGTTTCTGAGAATGCTTCCGTTTAGCTTTTAGGTGAAGATTATCCCGTTTCCAACGAAATCTTCAAAGAGGTCCAAATATCCCCTTGCGGATCCCACAGAAAGAGTGTTTCGAAACTGCTGTTTCAAAAGGAATCTTCAACTCTGTGAGTTGAATGCAATCATCACAAAGAAGTTTCTGACAATGCTTCTCTCTCGTCTTTCTGTGAAGATAAAGGAAAAGGCTTTCAGGCCTTTTCCACCACAGGCCTGAAAGCGCTCCAAATGTCCACTTGCAGATTCTGCCAAAAGAATATTTCAAAACTGCTCTATGAAAAGCAATGTTAAACTCTGTGGCTCGAACACAAACATCACAAAGCAGTTTCTGAGAATGCTTCAGTTTAGTTTTTCTGTGGAAATATTCCCGTTTCGAAAGAAATCTTCAAAGAGGTCCACGCATCCACTTACAGATTCTACAAAAAGACAGTTTCAAAACTGCTCAATCAAAAGGAGGGTTCAACCGTGTGACTTGAATGCAATCATCACTCAGAAGTTTCTGAGAATGCTTCTCT